>NC_000006.12:157949577-158101093 GCF_000001405.40 Homo sapiens | reverse complement strand
GGAAGGAGGGATGAATAGGTGGGGCCCAGAGGATTTTTACGGTAAACTCCTCTGCATGATAATGCAATGGTGGATCCATGTCATTATACACTTGTCCAAGCCCATAGAATGTGCAACACCAAAAGTGAACCCTAAACTATGGACTTGGGAGGATGATGTACCAATGTAGTCAATTGATTGAAACAAATGTACCAGTCTGGTGGGGGGAAGTCAATAGTGGAGGAGGCTGTGCACGTGTTGGGGTAGGGAGGATATGGAAACTCTACTTTTTGGGCAATTTTGCCGTGAACATAAAACAGCTCTGAAAATATAATTAATTAAAAAAATAGTTCAAAATTCCTTTTTGAGACGGAGTCTCACTCTGTCGCCCAGGATGGAGTGCAGTCGCGCGATCTCAGCTCACTGCAAGCTCCGCCTCCTGGGTTCACGCCATTCTCCTGCCTCAGCCTCCCGAGTAGCTGGGACTACAGGCGCCCACCACCATGCCCGGCTAATTTTTTGTATTTTTAGTAGAGACGGGGTTTCACCGTGTTAGCTAGGATGGTCTCGATCTCCTGACCTCGTGATCCGCCTGCCTCGGCCTCCCAAAGTGCTGGGATTACAGGCATGAGCCACCGTGCCTGGCCCAAAATTCTTAATACTCTTCTCCCAAATCTTCCCTGTCTGTTCACAATTACTCTCTCATTTATACTCATTTATTTATTTATTTGAGACAGAGTCACACTCTGGCTGGAGTGCAGTGGTGCAATCTCGGCTCGCTGCAACCTCTGCCTCCTGGGCTTAAAGGGATTCTCCTGCCTCAGCCTCCTGAGGATTACAGGTGTGTGCCACCTCTCCCAGCTAATTTTCATATTTTTAGTAGAGACAGGGTTTCACCATGTTGGCCAGGCTGGTCTCAAACACCCGGCCTCAGGTGATCCACCCGCCTTGGCCTCCCAAAATGTTGAGATTACAGGCGTGAGCCACCGTGCCTGGCCTCATTTGTACTCTTATTACCTCATTGAGATAAATGCAAACAATTTGCCTTGGATGAGAGTGCGTTTTAAACCTATCTCCCCCAGTCCCTTGAAAAGGAAGTTTCTGCAACCGGCTGTCAGATTTAGTAAATTCAATATGCCTCCTTACTGGTCAGGAAGGACTAGCCATATTTATTAGAGATTTATTCTTATTCCTGAAAATCATCAGAGAACATTTATGATCTATATTGTATTAATTAGCTTAGAGCAAACCTAGACAGAACTTGAAGTGTTTACTTCCGTCTCCTGCTTCTATGCTGTAATGGACTCAAGCTAGCAGTTCAGTTTTTATAAGTTTGCTATAAAATCGTACAGAAAATGAATTCTAGCATCTCTAAGTAGCATAAAGTTATTATATGTTATGGCAGTATTCCCTGCTAGCAGCATTCAAGTCATAAATTCTTAACCAGATGATTACTTTTCTGGTTTTTGAACTTAATTTAATAGTTAAAAAAACGAACCGGTTGGGCGCAGTGGCTCACACCTGTAATCTCAGCACTTTGAGAGGCCTAGGCAGGCGGATCACAAGGTCAGGAGTTTGAGACCAGCTTGGCCAATATGGTGAAACCCCGTCTCTACTAAAAATACAAAAAAATTAGCCAGGCATGGTGGGACATGCCTGTAAGCCCAGCTATTCAGGAGACTGAGGCAGGAGAATTGCTTGAACCCGGGTTGCTCACTGCAGGTTGCAGTGAGCAAGATCGCACCACTGCACTCCACCCTGGGCGACAGAGTGAGACTGTCTCCAAAAAAAACAAAAACAAAAACAAAAAAAACAAAAAACCAAAACCCGAAACTCAAGAGGAATTACTAAATAACCAGTAATTACATTTGATCCAGAACAGAAGGTAGCCAAAGATATTCTAAGGTTCTCTTCATATCTGAAAAGAAATAAACCCAATTTAAAAAAAGACAAAAACATTTAATAGGTATCATGTACAATTTCAGTACAAATTTTCACTTCAAAAATATTACAGGATTTTATTAATCACTAGTCCCCCAATAATCTTTGCAGCTTTCCTTCCCAATGAAATGACTTCATTATAAAGTGAACGCTTTGATACATTACTTTGTTTATACTTACACACACATCAGGGAGAATTTTATTATGTGCCTTGAACTTCAACAACGTTAAACCGTTACAGGAATTGCTTAAGCTGATGTCCTAATTCAATCATTAACCAAAACATATTTTAAGAATAGGCAAGAAGTCTGAGAAGATGGTGATGTAAAAGGGACTAGGCTTGGGGTCAGAGAGACAATGGTGAGTTGTGAAGTACCTAAACCAGTCTGCGTGAACTGCACCATGTTAGAGAACAGCAGGAACAAAATAGGCTACAAGGTCACAATAAGAAGCCCTGGATGGTAGCATCAAAGACGAAACATTTAAAAAACCACAGAATGAAATCCCCCAAGATGGCAGCTGCTCATTGTCAAGATTATTTAATCAACCCTGCTGCTGACCTGGGAATCCTACCAACTAGTAAGCATTGATTTTAAAAATAAATAAGGCAATTCCAATTGTCCTTTTTTTTTTTTTTAAGAGAATTCTGGTATGAGAACCATACCTACTACCAACTCCAAATCCAATCTATGTTGTTCACTAAATTTGACAGCCACGATCAAATAATATTTAACTCTTAAACTCCTCGTAACTTTTTTGTGATTCACCTCCCCCAGTCAACACAATTCTGTGTGTTTTTACTTACGGTCAGACTCTGAAGAGCTACTTAGGAGATGAGCACATATTTTAACAAAAATTTTATTCTCTGTCCCATTTATTTGGTATCTGGAACGAAGAGAAAACCTAAAAATGAGATCTATTTCCAGCACTGCAAGCAACTTTGGAGGAGCTTACTTTTCCCCTGCTTCTTTGACTGGTTGTTACATTTATCTGTTTTCAAATTTATCTCCTTTTTGGTGAGAAAAGAGGTTATAGGGAAAAGAGCATTTGAATGAATTCTTCAATTTCATTTCATTTATGACTCTGGCTGTTAATAGCGATGTGCATCTTGGCAAATCAGCTTCTCCAAGGAACCCATCTTGCTCTCTCCCCCAAACTCTGTTAAGGACCATTCTGTTTATTTCTTGTGTTTGTTACAGAGGTAAAAATCATATAAAGCACGTAAATGCCACCAACGGCATCCTGATCACCTAAACACCGCCTTTTATGACTGGTCAACTATGCATCTTATCTGTCTAGCTCTGTGGGTCACGGATTCCTTTTTTTTTTTATCCTTTTCCAGGTATTAGTTTTCAGATGAAAAGAGATACGTGTTGTAACTTTTGTTTTGATGGCCATATTTAAGTAATCTGCAATATATCTTGACAGTGACAATGAAAACTAATTATGAAATTCCAGATGTCTAATTGGTAACAAGACAGTGGCATAGCCCAGGCAAGATGATCCTTACTATCCTAGCAGTCAGCTTTTAGGACAGACATCCCCCAGTCACGTAAGGGATGACACTTGATCACTGCTGTGCGAGCCTCTGTACGAGGCTCCCAGATACAACAGGCGGTACAGTAAGATTTCACTACTGAACTTCTTATTAAATAGCGAAAACACGGTATCTGCTCCAAATGGATTCCAGACCTTGTAACATTACTTTAAAAATGTAAAGCACTATGGTAATGTCTTTTTCAGTTATTGAATAGGTGAGAAGTGCTGTTGGAAACGTGGGAAAAATGTATAGGCAAAAAATATAGACAAACATATAGACAAGCAAACCCAGAAACACTGGCCTGGTGATTCTTATATGCAGGGACACATAGCACTTTCCATCCCGAAGCTCCAGCCGGACAGACGAGGCTGAAACACTCTCCATATTCTAACAATGAGAATCAATATCGCGTATCAGCAAGAGTTTTCGCACTGTGTGCTTTTATGTGGTATGCATGGAATATAAGCGGAACAAAGGATCCGTGAGGTTTCATTTAATAAGGACTAGATGGTGGATAAAAATTGGTTTCAGTAGCACACCATGGCTCAGGATTATAGTAATTGATAGGGCATGCAATGTCTAAGACATGGCACAGGAGCCTTCAGCTAGTTTAAGCTAAGGTTAAGCTAACGGTGTATGCCACCGGCTCCCTCGGGATTCACGCATCATCAAGGTTAACGCACATGTACACACTTAAACATGAAGGCTCATGGGAATGTACAGTCTAGTCATTAGGTTGACCTATTTGGCTGCTTCCGACTCTGATTTTTTGTAACCTTGTTTAAGTGGGCCAGGACAGCTACTAATGGTCACAACGACCTCTTTCTCTAATCCTTACTTTATACATCAACCTTCAGGTGGCTCCCCAAAATGTTATACCAAATCTGTAAAATGCAAATAAAACAAAAGACAAATCTCCATCACGTACAACATGAACTGAACAGCCATTTAAAAATTCAATGGGTGAGAACTTCTTGGACCTCATTGGCTAGATTCCTTTCTTAAAATCCATACACCGAATTTAACAGGAAGGTTCCCATTCCTTGAAGAGCAAACTTCAGATGTACAAGCCTTGAGTGAAATATATTTTGGTGGCTGAGTAACCATCTTACTGAATAAGAGACACGATTTTTGTAAACTACACGAGAGTGACAGATGCACAAACGTTTTGGCCAGTGTGCCTTTAAATAGATGTCTCTTCTGGTGGAGGGATGTCTAGAGGGAGGAAGGTATGCATTCTATAGGACTGCAGCCTTCAAAGCTGCTCAGTCATGTTTTTGCCAGTGGGTCAAACACCTGCAGTGCTGTCCTCTTTTCTTGGTCACTGATTGTCACCCAGTGACCTAAGGTTTTGTGTTCATGATCTGGTGGCAGCTCTGCCTTGGCAGCTGAAGCGCCAGCTGACACTGGGTCTATGGGATCTCTTTTGGGGCTCCTGGTTCCTGAGTCCAAAGGGTCTGAGCTCTTAGAAAGCCAAGTGTTATTCAACAGTTTAGGGTGGTGAAGAAGGTTCCAGAAGGGGTCCTGATAATCACCAAGAAGTGGGGCTGCCTCTGGCTTCATCGCTTTGGTGCCATCGCTGTCGGGGCTTGTAGCAGATGAAGTGCTGAGAAAGTCCCCTTGTGGGAAGACGGTGCCCGCGGCAGGTGGGTGCCCAGAGGGGCTGTCACTGCTATTGTAAGTGAGGCCCTGGAGAAGCTGGCTGTTGCTCTGCAGGACCTGCAGGTGGAAGGCTGCGGGGGCTGACTTCTTCCTCCTCGGGGGTACCTTGGGCACAAGAGGCGGCGCCTCCAGAGGTGGTGGCACAGAGGCTCCTGCCCCAGGAGGGGCTTCGTCTGATGCTGGCTTCCTGTGGCTTGGCCTCTCTGCAGCTTTCCCAGGCTGAAATGTTCTTGGTTTGGGAACAGGAGGGACTCGAGGGGCTGTCACGACAGGAGGGGCCTCAACGCTTGTCTCCGGGGGCCCGATTGTAAAATGGACAGTCTGTTGCTCAAACTGTTCTTCCGGTGACAGGGGCTGAGAAAAGGTGGGACAAAGAGTGTAAATAAGAAGCCAATAACTAGGCAGCTGAGGATCAGAGAACAGAGTGGCCAGCAGAGAACAGAGATGAGACCAAGCTGACATTCTAGCAAATTCGAGATTTGAGAATGTGTGGGGTGCCAGAAATGTGACCAGGTAAGAAAAAGAAAAAGCACAGGAGAAACACACATTTATCAGGTCACACCAGCAGGTCCAATGAAAACGAGTGGAAAATTTAAAACCAGGGCCACAGTAAATAATCAGACAAACTTTTCTTTGTCCTTTAGGAAATGGGGTGATGCTCTTCCTTTATTGAAAGCAAACCTCTCTGAAAACACTCTTTGAAGTTGCAACCTGGGCTGATTCATGGTCTGTATCATGCTAGGGTGAAGTAACTTGTGTTACAACATAAGCTAACTGAAGGACTAATGGATATACTTTCTCCTTGAATTTTTTTTTTTTTTTTGAGAAGGAGTCTCGCCCTGTCCCCCAGGCTGGAGTGCAATGGCGCAATCTCAGCTCACTGTAACCTCCGCCTCCCAGGTTCAAGCGATTCTCCTGCTTCAGCCTCCCGAGTAGCTGGGATTGCAGGCGCCTGCCACCATGCCTGGCTAATTTTTGTATTTTGTAGTAGAGACGGGGTTTCACCATGTTGGTCAGGCTGGTCTTGAACTCCTGACCTCAGGTGATCCACCCGCCTCAGCCTCCCAAAGTGCTGGGATTACACGCGTGAGCCACCGCGCCCAGCTCCTTGAATCTTTTATACTTAAATATTGGTAAAGAATGGAAACCTTGACACTGCCTTGGTTCTGGTTCAAATCTATCACAAAGAAAACAACTGCACAGGCAAAATGAAGCTTTTGTTCAGAAAAGGTGATCAGTAGACTAGTTAAACATTGGCGTTTCAGTGTTTCTTTGGTTCTTTAGAAAACAAACTAAGAAAAAAGAAAGTCTCTTTTCCAACAGCCTTTTAACTTTAACTCCTGTGCAGCAGGTTGGGAAAATGAATCTATTTCTGCTCCTGGCTTTTACAAGAAAAGACAAAGCAGGTGGTCCCCGACTTACAATGGTTCCACTGAGGATTTTCCACTTCACCCTAGTGCACAAGCGCTAATGTTCCGTAGAAAGCATACTTTGAATTTTGAAGTTTGATCTTTTATTTTTATTATTATAAAATAGGCTGTGTTGGATGGGTGTTTTTTTTTTTTTTTTTTTTTTTTGCCCAGCCGTAGGCTAATGTATGTGTTCTGAGTGTGTTCAAGGTCAGCGAGACCATGACGTTTGCTAGGTTAGGTGTATGAGATGCAGTTTTGACACGCTATTTTTCAACTTACGATGGGTTTATTGGGATGTAACCCCATTTTAAGTCGAGGAGCATCTGAACAGGGAAGAGGCGGAGGAAAAAGGTCCACTTTGTAAGGAAGCATGGACAAGGGACAGATGGCAATGAGCCAATGTGGGACAGAAGAGCAACCCAGGAAATACAAAGCAAGCGCTGTCAAGAGTGAAGCCGAAGCCCCCCTCACACTCTCTAGGGGGGAAGCAGCATCGTGCTGTGATGACCAGGAAGGGATTACCGAGGGTCCGTTACTAGAACACTGAGATCAAACGGAAGATCCAGATGTGTCTACAGATGCCAGTCTTTGGGCTGCTACTGTCCTTACAAACTCATGTCTTTGAAGCAGTAAGCAAGGCTGAGAAGCTTGAGAGCGAGAGCAAAAAACAATCTGCAAGAAAAGTGGCAAGAAAAGCTGTGGAACCTCTCGTAGGCTGAGGCCGCACGAGAGCATGTGAACATGGCGAATCTGGGAATCGGTTACTGTTTTCCTAATGCCTTGAAACCATGTGCACACAACACAGACCACACGCAAATGGGCGGTACCAGAACATGTGGGGAAAAGCATCCCACTATGGTTCCCTTTGGGGACTCAAAACACTTAGGAAGCATAATACCTCCAAGCTGTTCTTGTCACACTGACAATGTGCCAGACAGTGGACTCCTCGTTCTTCTCAGCCAGAGCCAAGACACAGTAGGATATGAGGGAAGAAGCAGTTGTCAAAACTTTCCCCAAAGACACACCTGTGTCTGGGACTCATGAACGTGAGGATGTCCATAGGGAACTAGATTTTTATCTGTGAGACGCAAATCTGTTTTTTTTTTTTTGTTTTTTTTTTTTTTGAGGTGGAGTCTCACTCTGCTGCTCAGGCTGGAATGCAGTGGCACGATTTCGGCTCACTGCAACCTCTGCCTCCTGGGTTCAAGTGATTCTCCTGCCTCAGCCTCCTGAGTAGCTGGGATTACAGGCGTGCGCCACCACGCCCGGCTAATTTTTCTATTTTTAGTAGAGACGGGGTTTCACACCATGTTGGTCAGGCTGGTCTTGAACTCCTGACCTCGTAATCCGCTTGCCTCGGCTTCCCAATGTGCTGGGATTACAGGCCACAATTCTTATCTATCGAGACATGTGAGCAACTTAGGAGTAAGAGGTTTTATGTTACCAGGCTTTTACCTTTCCTGTCCTTCTCAAGGTTGGCTTCTTGATGGCAGGAACTCTGGGTGGGGGCCGACGGGGAAGGAGTGGGGGCGCCTGTGGGGTCTCTGGTTTGGCTGCCCCCGGTGTGGGCTCTGGTTCAGAGGATGCTTCAAGGTCCCTTGGGGCCACGGCACTTAGGGCTTCTTCGGAGGCACCTGAAACATAAAACCACATGGCTGAAGTGTAAAGGACAAGGCAATTCACTGCATGATTTCGTCCTTAGACAGTCTACATCCTAAGTGTCATTTACTAATTCAGTGTATTTCAGGAGTAATCAGCTAGATTCAGTCCCAGCTTTTTTTCTTTTTTCTTTTTTAAGATGGGCTCTCGCTCTGCCACCCAGGCCGGAGTGCAGCGGCATGATCACGGCTCACTGCAGTCTCAACCTCCCAGGCTCGAGCAATTCTCCCATTTCAGCCTCCTGAGTAGCTGGGATTACGGGTGAGCACTGCCACGCCCAGCCAATTTTTAAAATTTTTAGTAGAGATGAGGTCTCACTATGTTGCTGGAACTCCTGGGCTCATGCAGTCTTCTTACCTCAGCCTCCCAAGTAGCTGGGACTACTGGTGTGAACCACCACGCCCAGCTAATTTTAAAATTTTTGTAGAGAGAGGGTCTCATTGTGTTGCCCAGACTTGTCTCGAACTCCTGGATTCAAGCAGTCCTCCCACCCCAGCCTCTCAAAGTGCTGGGATTACAGGCGTGAGCCACCGCACCCAGCAGTCCCAGGTTTTCATGCTCACCTTCCTAGCAGGGGTGGTGATCTGGGGTCTGTGGATAGTTTGGATGGGGACCAGTGAGACCCTGAGATCATATGCAAAGTCTCATGTGTACTTACATTTCTCAGGGTAGATGATCCAAAGACATCAAAATCTCAATGGGGCCATGACCAAGAAAGTGTTAAGCCGGGACTGTAGGTAGATTTCACACCTCTACTAACATCTACATCTCTAGAGTTTTTTTTTTTTTAACAGCTTTATTGTGACATAATTCACATACCGTGAAATTCACCCTTTCTAAGTGTACCATTCATTGGTTTTTAGTGTATCCACAAAGTTGTGCAACCATCATACGATCTAACTCCAGAACATTTTCATCACACAAAAAAGAAGCCCCACAGCAGCCACTCCCCACCCAGGCCTCCTTCCAGTCCCTGGAAAGCAAGAAGAACTTTCTGACCCCATGAATTTGCCTGCTGTGGCCATTTCATAAAAAGGGGATGGTACACTATGTGGCCTTTTTTTCTTTCTTTCACATAGTATAATGTCTTCAAGGTCCACCCATGAAGTAGTATGTATCAGCACTTCATTCTTTTTTTTTTTTTTTTTTATGAGACAGAGTCTAGCTCTGTCACCCAGGCTGGAGTGCAGTGGCGTTATCTTGGCTCACTGCAACCTCTGCCTCCCCAGTTCAAATGATTCTTCTGCCTCAGCCTCCCGAGTAACTGGGACTAACAGGCACGTGCCACCACGCCCGGCTAATTTTTTTGTATTTTTAGTAGAGATGGAGTTTCACTGTGTTAGCCAGGATGGTCTCGATCTCCTAACCTCGTGATCCGCCTGCCTCGGCCTCCCAAAGCGCTGGGATTACAGGCGTGAGCCACTGCACCCAGCACCCAGCCCCATTCTTTTTTTTTTTAATGGCTGAACAATATTCCATTGTATTGATGGACCACATTTTGTTTATCCATTTATCAGCTGATGGACACTTGGGTTGTTATATCCATAGTTTTAGTTATTTTTCTTTCTTTCTTTTTTCTTTTTTTGAGACGGAGTCTTGCTCTGTCACCCAGGCTGGAGTGCAGTGGTGCAATCTTGGCTCACTGCGAGCTCCACCTCCCGGGCTCAGCCATTCTCCTGCCTCAGCCTCCTGAGTAGCTGGGACTACAGTCACCCACCATCACGCCCGGCTAATTTTTTGAATTTTTAGTAGAGACGGGGTTTCACCGTGTTAGCCAGGATGGTCTCGATTTCCTGTCCTCGTGATCCACCCGCCTCGGCCTCCCAAAGTGCTGGGATTACAGGCGTGAGCCACCGCGCCCGGCCTAGTTTTAGTTATTTTTCTAAAATAAAAAAAAAGAAAGCATTTGTAGCAGTATCATTCTACAACAGTAGTTCTCGACCTTTTAACTCATGCCCCCTTAAATATTATTTGAGAATTCCAAAGAAGTTAAACATGCTGACTAAAAGCAAATTAAGCAATGGTGATTGCTTACACCTTTTTAAAGGGCACACTCGGCCAGGTGTGGTGGCTCACACCTGTAATCCCAGCACTTTAGGAGGCCAAGGTGGATGAATCACCTGAGGTTGGGAGTTCAAGACCAGCCTGGCCAACAAGGTGAAATCACATTTCTACTGAAAATACAAAAATTGGCTCATCATGGGGCTGCGCGCCTGTAGTCCCAGCTACTCAGGTGGCTGAGGCAGGATATTTGCTCGAACCTGGGAGGCGGAGGTTGCAGTGACCTGGGATTGAGCCACTGCACTCCAGTCCAGCTGACAGAGTGAAACTCAGTCTCAAAAAAAAAAAAAAAAAAAACAAAAAAAAAAACGAAGAAAAGGGCACACTCTCCTCTCTAGGAGATTCTGGAACAAAGCCAAGGCCAAAACTAAAAGTGTAAATTACCAGTGATTATGAATGAAGTGGGGGAGAGCCCAAGGTAACTAACATGGTTTAAGTAACAGCAACAAAAAATAATGTGGTGGGAAAGAGGTCCCTGCCTGACACTAAAAACTTTATTTCCACTTGCCAGTGATTTAAAAGGTAGATTTTGTGCCTGAAATTAGGACAAACACTATAACTGTCTCTGTTTTATAAAGCTGGCAGAATGACTTCATGCCGGCAGCATTCACCTTTTTTAAAAACTCATTTTGGTTTTTTTCGGTCTCTCCTTTAGACGCCGCTTAATAGCCCTGGGATGATTTTTATATACACACAGAATTTTGAAAATACAATTTTAAATGGACAATCAATCTTAGTATAGATTTATATAAAATGTTGCTAAAGGATGTTTTCATTTAATATTGCCTCCAGAAGAATAAAAAGAGTTATTTTCGTTTCTAGACCACTTTTAGCAGGGAGATAAAAAGAAAAGGAGAATTGGTTTTTCCCCTGCCCCCAGGAAAGCACCTACCTCCTCTGGCTTCCAGGAGACACCGGATTGCTGCTTCTGCCTCCTGGGCATTGGTGGTTTTGATCTGCTTGACATTATAAGGTTTACTTATTCCAGTCCGAGCCTTGGGCTTGAGGACAGAATGAGGAAGAGCAGAGTATCAGCAGAGGCAGGAGGACAGCCTCGTGGGACGTATCTGCTACCCGTGGGTCTGTGCAGGGCTCCACCAGACGATGCTGACCATACAAACTCCAGCCTCCACCACACCCTGCAATCCTCTCTTTCCTGGAGCACTCTCTTTCCAAGAGTGCCATACTACTTAGACCTGATGACCCTGGTCTTCAAAGCCGGGTGATTACAGATTTTTGCATATGGACAGACCATCTTCTATCTTTTTTTCAATAACCAGGTGAAAGCCAGAAAGCAAAATAAGAGGCCACTCTTTCCATGGTCCCACTGAGTTGTTAAAATACCTTCCTTAAAAGTGCTTTTTCTACTTCTTCATCCAGCATGTGGGTTGCCTTTATGACCTATTTTCACTACTGTAAAACACTGGCCTCCAGTCACCCCTCCACCTGCTGGGGCCGCACAAGCACTTAACCAGGCCCAGCACCCCAGAGGCATCCCGGTCATAGCAGTTTCCCCCTAGCACCCAGCTTCCCCTCTCTCCCCTCTACTTCCCTGCCTTCACCTGCTCTCTTCCCCAGCAGCTCATGGTACCCTCTGGAACCAGGCACCTCCACAATCCTCTATGGCTGTTAGTCTTCCTAGTGTGTTCCCCAACTTCATTATTTACATCTCTTTTTAGCCTCTTCTCTCAACCAACTTCACTCCAGAATGATCATCATTTTCCCAGGATAACGACCTGAATTTCTCCCATTTTCCCTTCTACCAAGCAATGCTCTGCCCATACACCAAGGTCAGAGGCAAGAATGGGAAGAGAGAGAAATGGATGAGTATGGAAACCAGGGATATTTGGGATTTTTCATCAAAAGTGATTTTTTCTAGAACACTCCATACAACCATTTAAAAGCCCTATGGAGAACCTGCGAGGAAGGGTTATGGGGTTTGGAGATGAGATGGTGAGCAGGTAGAGGGTTAAAGACACATAAATCTATATATTCACTGAGAAGAGAGATCCCACACTATCCCGGGGGCAAAACCCTTGGGATTGAAATGTATGCAGAAGAACTCACAGGTTGCTGAGGTGCTCCTGGTAGAAGTCTTGCCGTCTGCAAAATTGAATACTGTCCATGGGTGCCGGAGGAGATGGACGCATCTGAAGCCGACTTTTTCACCATTAAACCGGCTGTAAAAACCAACGAGGGCAGAGTCTCAATCTCAGTGAAGGCACAACTTCCCAGCCAGCTGCCAGGAGCCCGACTAGACGAGGCGGATGTCCCAGCAGACCACAGACACGGTGAGGTCCGAATACTCACTCGGCACTTAGGGCACCCACAGAGCCAGGCCTTCCTTGACTCTCTATGGAGTTTCTCACTTGATTCTACCAGTGTGTGCCTATTGATGTAGATGATCTGGAGAAGCATTACTAGAATGCAAACTTTAACATCTTGGGGGATTCAGATCTGATATAAAAACCAATTGATTTTGAAATGGTTCCAAATACTATTGCTAGGACCAGATTTTTAAAATATTTTGTGGGGAAAAAATATTTCAAAAACCCCAGCCTGGGCAACATGGTGAAACTGTCTCTACAAAATAAATAAATAAATGAATAAAAATAGCCAAGCCTGATGGTATGCGCCTGCAGTCCTAGCTACTTGGCAGGCTGAGGTAGGAGGATTGCTTGAGCCGGGGAGGTCAAGGCTTCAGTGAGCTGTGAGATCGCACCACTGCACTCCAGCCCGGGGGACAGAATGAGCCCATCTCAAAAAAAAAAAAAAAAAAAAAAAAAAAAAAAAAAAAAAAAAAAATTCCAAAGCAGGGGAATAAACTGTTAAAATATACTTGCAGCCATTAACAAATCATGTTTTAGAACATTCAATGACACAGAAAATATAACCCATTAAATAAAAGACAACCGACCAGAGAAAATGGGTATTAATTTTGTTAAAAAAAAAAAAAAAAAAAAAGAAGTATGTTGCTGCAGATACATGAAACTGGAAAAAGAAGACTTTTTTCAACAACTACGACCCGTAGGTCATCAAGTGAATTTTAAAATTTTGTTCTTCTTTGTAGTTATCTCTAAAATTTCCACAATAATACATGACTTATGCATTTTATTTTTGGGTTATTTTTATATCTGGGCTTGTGGCTTGCCATTGGTTACTACCGTGACGTCAGCCACAATGAGCCCAATTCTGAAGTAATGGCTTAGGAAGATCTAAGTCTGATCATCACATTTTTGGGGAGGGAGAAGTAAACAGTGGTGGGAAAATGCAAGTGGATCAAAAGCACATCACAGCTTTGCTTTCAGGTTATCAGGGAGGGCTGGACGGGCAAAGCATTGTTCGAACAACCAGAAGAAAATGCTCCTAGACCCAGGATAAGGGGGAACTTGTTCTGAGCCCGGGGAACAGGAGGCCTCGGAGCGCAGAGGGGTGACCAGGTCACCTCCAGGCGGGGACCTGGGTTTACCAGATTCCTCATAAGTAGAGGGAGGACTGCGCAGCAGCTGAGGAGAGACTTCTGACTGCGAAGCTCACGTCCCTCCCATGGCTGCGGCCCCCATTCTGCATCCTCTAATGCTGCCAAGGGAGAGCAGTTTGAAGCAATAGCACAGCTCCAGGGTGAACAGCAGCTTTGGAAAGGAGCTGTTTCATTTGCCATGAGAAACACAACCAGCCCTGACGTCAAACGTGTCCTGGATTTACAACAAAACGGAGCCCAAGGAGGAGGAAGCCCTGTGGGGACCGGAAGGCCGGGGAGAAGTGGATTCGGAGCCGTGTTTTCAGTAGCAGGGAACGCGCGGTTATTCCTGGCAGGCATCCAGGGAGCTGAAAGCAAGCAGAGTCTTACTTGGAGGGGGGGGTCTCTGCGGGGGTTGAGGTGGCCGAGGCCGGTTGGGGACCGACAGAGACCTGCTCGGAGAACGGTGGCGGAACTCCCCGACGGCTTCCAGCTCCCGCTTGAGCTCCACCAGGTCCGCGTCATCTGGAGGACATGGCGGGGCATGAGTACAATGGTCTGTTCCACACGTGAGCGTGTCAGACACGGATCTGAGCACAGGAGGCCGACTGTGGCAGGGGGACCTGCTGTAGGACAGCTGAAGGCTCTGTCCAGAAACGGGCACCTCTGTCTGCCGGCGAGGGGCGGGGGCGGGGAGGGCACCCAGTGCCTGCTTGGAACATTCAGTGAACCATGGATAATGGGTATTTCTCAGACTTGAGAGACACTGAGCTATTTCAAAGTGTGTTTTCTTGTGAAATAACAAGACTTGGGCAGAGTGGAGGAGACAGTTGCAAACCACAACCCCTGAAGAGTCAACCAACCACAGGCAGATGTTTTCAATTCCTCACTCTAGAACACACCGGCTGAGGAAGCTGAGGGTGTTCTCCCTGCTCTGGCAGCAGAGCAGCCTGGCATGCAGTGGCCAGTGCCTAGGACCAGGGGTCCTGCTTACTCATCAAATCCCAAACCCTGTGGGCCCATGGCTGGCCACTCCCAAGGGTCTGCCATCTTGACCTGCCCTGCACACACCTTCCAAGAGGCTGAGGGGTTTTCAGGAGGCACAGCTCCTGCTTCCTTACAGATCAAATCAGCAGCCCTAGGGCTCCCCCAAAGCATGGGCCTCTCCATTTCACTTTGACTCGGACACCCCACTCCCTGTATCCAGCAGCTCCACCCCATGTGTCCTGGAGACTGGAACTGGGGAAAGGCAGGATTTCTCCTACAAATGGGAATGGCTGAACACCCCACAGCATCAAGGGAAGACCCTCTCAATGCCCACCAGGTAGCAAAGCCACCCACGTGTCCCGTGTTGCGCTATTAGTTTCTTCATGCAAAGGACTATCTGTGCTCACACCTGCACTGGCTCCAGAGGCTGCCTGCATGACGGCCACCCCCGAGAGAAAGGTCCTTCTTATGGGAAGAGCACATCCCTCCAGCCACTTCAACTCCCGGGCAGAAGCCCCTGGCAGGAGCAACGTGCAGAACCACCGCGATGCTCCGGCGAAGGCTGCTGCTTCAGTCTTGGGCAGAAGTCCCCAAACCTAGCTGTGCGTCCAAACCACCTGGAAAGCTTGGTGAAACGCCAGGCTTCCAGGGTCCCACCCCACTCCTACCAAATCCAGATCTCTCTGGTAGGGCTCAAAAATCCATAAGTTTAAAAGCTCCTGATGGTTCGGTATAGGCAAGTTATTGGTCAGTGTGGGGACCAGCGTACGGTCAAAGGGGCTGGAGGTCTTCGCACCTCTCCTGGCAAAGTACCCTCCCTGAGAGGTACCTTAATCCACTTTCAGCCCTGTTCTCTGCTCTCAGCCCCAGCTCAATGGGCCCAATGCGTGGCTAAGCTCCTGCACCTGCTGGTTAGAGCTGTCCTCCAACTCGGGGCTCAGTGATTGACAGCTAGAGGCATGCCTGGCTATGAATGGAACAGCATCAATGTAGCTGACACTGAAATATGAACTACCCGACCTGCCAGCCACGTAACATTAGTGGGCTTTAAAAGTTACTCAGAACAGTTACTGGCCAGGTGCAGTGGCTCACACCTGTAATTCCAGCACTTTGGAAGGCCCAGGTAGGAGGGTCACTTGAGCCCAGGAGTTTGAGACCAGCTTGGACAACATAGTGAGACCCCGTCTCTACAAAAAATGCAAAAAATTATCTGGGCATGCTGGTGCAACCCTGTAGTCCCAGCTACTTGGGAGGCTGAGGTGGGAGGATCGCTTGAGCCTGGGAGGTGGAGGTTGTAGTGAGCTGAGATTGTATCACTGCACTCCAGCCTGGGAGACAGTGAGACCCTGTCTCAAAAAAAAAAAAAAAGTTGTATTATTTAATCTAGGGGTGTGTGGTTCAATCAATGTGACCTTTCAGGCCCTCTGAAGTCTAAAATGATACAATGATGTGACCGTATGACATGACTGTATAATAATATGATATTATATGAGTGTGACCATACGCCAGCAACTCAGGACATAGATATGGATTATGTCTCTACTGGGATTGAATCAGAAGTTTTTTTGTTGTTGTTGTTTTGAGACGGAATCTCACTTTGTCACCCAAGCTGGAGTGCAGTGGGGCGATCTCGGCTCATTGCAGCCTCTGCCTCCCCAGCTCAAGCGATTCTCCTGCTTCAGCTGCCTGAGTAGCTGGGATTACAGGCATGTGCACCACCATGCCCTGCTAATTTTTAAAAAATATTTTTAGTAGAGACAGGGTTTCACCATGTTGGCCAGGCTGGTCTTGAACTCCTGACCTCAAGCGATCCACCTGTCTCGGCCTCCCAAAGTGCTGGGATTACAGGTGTGAGCCACTGCGCCTGGCTGAATCAGAAGAGTTTTGTTGGGGGCGGGAAATAATCACAAATATAAAACCAGTTCAGAACCGTGGCCATTTGAATATCCAGAGGAAACAAGAATTATCTTGAATCTGGTGTGTTATGGGGGTACAAGTTATTGTAAAAAAATAAACTAACTAGAGGAAATCAGGGTGTTGGAGCTGGCTACCTCCACAGGGCTCAGTCCCTACCCCTCGCTTGGCCTGCCTGGTTGAGGTCTCTCCTGGGACCTGCATACTTGATATCACACAGTGCCCAATCGCCAAGAGAAAAAGGAAAGTCTGTCCTGAGCTGACTCCATCGCTGAGGCTCCTGAGAAAAGAAGGGTCAGGCTACCTTTGTACGTTGGATGCTGCTTCTTTTTGGTGAGAGCAGGTGACTTGCTGGGAGGAGCCAGTGCTGTGGGGCCGGGGACATCAGAGAGGTCGTCTCCCCCGAGTTCACTGTCCGAGACTCCAGGCTGATTGAATTCATCCACCAAGTAGTCTTCATCGTCTTCAAGAATATCCCCTGGGAGAAGGAAATGAATCACAATTCGGGTGAAAACAATGAGGGGGAAAGGCTCAGTCTTCCATCAGTGGGACTGGTTCAGCTCCTGTCAGGACACGTGCACCCTGCCCTGCAGCTCAGGGCCCAGGCGCCAGCAGGGACGGTACCCCAGTTCCATTGGTACACCCACAGCCCTGATATCCTCATAGCCACTGTTTGTAGCCTAAGTTTAGATGCCTCGGGTCCCAGGTAGCATGGCATGCATCGTCCACACATACAAACATGCTCATCACATGGGACAGAGGGCTTGCCCTGCGGGTGTCCTCCGTCACTTCTGCAAGGGAGGCTTTAGAAGGTGTCCTTAAAAGCTCAGGCCTGTTGCTAGAAGAACGGCTTGCCTGTCCCTCCCTGCAGGGTCACTAACCTTCTGACTCATAGTCCAAACTTGTGAAGTCAAAGTTTTCCTCCAGCAAACAGGAGTTGGCAGTGGGAGACACGGGGGCCATGCTGTCTCGTTTCCGAATGATCTCCTCTCGCAAACCTTTCAGCCAGTCCTTGGTCTTCGGTCTAATCTTCACTGCTCTGCCTTTCACCTGGGAGGGCAGAGCGGCCACCCAGGAATAAATAAAAATCATGACCCCTCCTGTTGATCACACAATGCTTCTCACCAAAACCCACACACCCTCAACGAGGCCAATCTTCACATTTGGCCCTGAAAAACCAAGGGTCCAGACCTCACGCAGGCTCAGCATAGCTCTCATACATCTGGTTGAAAAAAAAGTTGAACTGGGCTGGGTGCGGTGGCTCACACCTGTAATCCCAGCACTCTGAGAGGCCGAAGCAGGTAGATCCCTTGAGGTCAGGAGTTTGAGACCAGCCTGACCAACACGGTGAAACCCGATCTGTACTAAAAATACAAAAATTAGCTGGGCGTGGTGGTGAGTGCCTGTAGTCCCAGCTACTCGGGAGGCTGAGGCAGGAGAATCGCTTGAACCCGGGAGGCGGAAGCTGCGGTGAGCCGAGATTGCACCACTGCACTCTAGCCTGGGTGACAGAGCAAGACTCCATCTCAAAAAAAAAAAGTTGAACTCTCATCTCCAGCTTCCCATTTGGTACAGATTTAAAGCCAAGATACTATAAAAACGGAAACTATCTATGAGCTGCATATTCCAAAATACATACTCTAAAGAGAAAGACTGGAATAGTCTCCCACATGGCAGTGCGAGCATAGACAGATCAAGTAACTCGGCGAGAACTACACTCTAAAATGGCTAAGCTTCTGCAGCTGCTGGTAGAGCTGCCTTCCAACGTGAGACACAGTGACTGACATTCTTCTTCCCCATTCTGTTTGTTTGGTTTTTTGAGACAGGGTCTCGCTGTCACCCAGGCTGGAGTGCAGTGGCACGATCTCAGCTCACTGTAACCTCTGCCTCCCAGGTTCAAGCGATTCTCCTGCCTCAGCCTCCTGAGTAGCTGGGACTAGAGGCACGCGCCACCATGTCTGGCTACTTTTTTTTTTTTTTTTTTTTTTTTTGGAGACAGAGTCTCACACTGTTGCCTGGGCTGGAGTGCAATGGTGCGATCTCGGCTCACTGCAACCTCTGCCTCCTGGGTTCAAGTGATTCTCCTGCCTCAGCCTCCCAAGTAGCTGGGATTACAGGCACCTGCCACTATGCCTGGCTAATTTTTGTATTTTTAGTGGAGACGGGGTTTCACTATGTTGGCCAGGCTGGTCTCGAAATCCTGACCTCATGATTTGCCCGCCTCAGCCTCCCAAAGTGCTGAGATTACAGGCGTAAGCCACCACACCCAGCGCCTGGCTAATTTTTGTATTTTTACTAGAGACAGGATTTCGCCATGTTGGCCAGGCTGGTCTCGATCTCCTGACCTTGGGTGATCTACCCACCTTGGCCTGACAAAGTGCTGGGATTACAAGCATAAGCCACTGCGCCCACCCTTCCGCCCTATTTTGCAAGTAGCTAGAGCCGGACATGAGACACCTTAGAACCAGAGTGAAGAATCCAAACTCCCTCCCGCATATGGCGTCTATACATAAAGACAGATTGGTGGCCAGGCATGAAAGCTCATGCCTGTAATCTCAACACATTGGGAGATCGAGGCGGGAGGATGACTGGAGCCCAGGAGGCTGAGGTTATAGTGAGCCATAACTGTCCCAATGCACTCCAGCCGGGGCTACAGAGTGAGATCCTCTCTCTACAAAATTTAAAAAAAATTAGCTGGGTGTGGTGGCACGTGCCTGCGGTCCCAGCTACTTGAGAGGCTGAGATGGGAGGATTGCTTAAGCCTGGCAGTTCAAGGCTGCAGCGAGCTGTGATTGCATCACTGTACTCCAGCCTGAATGACAGAGCAAGACTTTGTCTCAGAGAAAAAAAAAAAAAAAAAAAAAAAAAAAAAAGGCACAGGTCAGGGCAAGAGGAGGAAGAAGACATGCCCACATAAAAAGAGGGATTGATCAGACCCCACTCCACAGTGTGGCCAAGTACAGCGTACCTTCATACCGTCCACGTCCAGGACACTGAGAGCCGAGTGACTGTCTGCAAAAGTTACCAGCATCTGCCCTTGGTTGATCCTGGAATAAATGATACTCCAAGTCAATGCCAAGAACGACCTGGCAGCTCTCACGGATCCTCATCGACATCCCCTGGAACCCACATCAGCCAGGGGAGCAGTTACCTGACAAGAACAATTGTCCCATAACTCCCCAAGGTCTGCATGAGCTCAGTACGCAGGTCCTCTGGAAACTCGTTTTTCTCTTCTAAGGTCGGTGATTGAAGGTTTACTACAACAGTGGCATCCAGGGGGCCCTGGAAGGAGGACACTTCCTGGAAAACCCTCTCCCGAGCACCCACATCGACTTCCTGAACTTCCACCTCCACGATCGCCAGCACAGGTCTGCGTTAGGAACAAAAGAGGGATGACAGTTAGCCTGGGACAGATGTCCACACCCCCGGCCTCCAGTCCCCAGTTAGCCTGGGACAGATGTCCACATCTCCAGCCCCCAGTCCCCAGCTGCTGTCCCCCAGGGCTCTTTGTAAACAGTCAACACCAACAACCTGCGAATGTGGCCACCAGCAGGTGGATTTGCAGGCTAGCTGCCCTGCTCTGGCGTTTTAGTCTTCATCTTTCCTTAACCTTAGTATCACCTTGGCATTTTTATCTAAAGATGATTTGAGGGGGAAAATAAAGTGTGGCACCTTAAAGATGTATCCCAGTACTTGGAAAATAACCAGCCATCAGCAAAGATTTTTGACATGGTAATCCTCAGTACCACCAAGGAGGTGGGGAAGCAGACATCTGCACTCTGCCAGGGGTGCAAGCTTTTCAGAGGGTTACTTGGCACTTTACATAGAGTTCCAAAATTGTTCATCTCTTTTCACCTAGTAATCTCACTTCTCGGACTTTATTCTAAGGAAATGACCAGGGATTCAGACAAAGATTTAATGCATGAGGTTGATCATTTACAGCATTGTTGATGGGAGGGAAAAAAAAAAAGGGAAATGCTCGTTTTTTTTTTTTTTTTTATTTTGAGTCAGAGTCTCCCTCTGTTGTCCAGGCTGGAGTGCAGTGGCGCGATCTCAGCCCACTGCAACCTCCGCCTCCCGGGCTCAAGTGATTCTCCTGCCTCAGCTTCCCAAGTAGCTGGGATTACAGGCGCATGCCACCATGACCAGCTAATTTTTGTATTTTTGGTAGAGATGGGGTTTTGCTGTGTTGGCTAGGCTGGTCTTGAACTCCTGACTTTAGGTGATCCGCCTGCCTCAGCCTCCCAAAGTGCTGGGATAAAGGCGTGAGCCACTGCGCCAGGCCAAAATGCTCTGTTTCTTAATGGGGAAACAGTTATGATACCTTCATATAATACCCTACGCAATCATTAGGAATAATGTAAAAATCAATGATGTAAACAGGAAAACAGTCCAGCAGGAAATAATGCAATCCTTATAGTAATTCTGACACAGGGATGGTTATTACTCTATAAATTTCCAGAAAATCCTATATTACGAAAATTACACAGCCTGATTGAAAATAGCTCGACTCTGGCCTGACTCCTGCCACTACTTTTTTTCTTTCATAGCACACATGTTTGTTTATTGTCTGTTTGTCCTGTCCAGAAAATTCCATGATAACATGGTCTCATCTGTTTTGTTCACTGCTTTTCTCCAGGCCAGCAACAGGGCCTGGCATGTAAGGGCCCCTCAAGAAATATTGGTTAAATTAAGGTTTCAAAATACATTGAGCTAGCAAACCTTGATGTCACATATCTGAAGATTCCTCAAGATTCACTTCTAGGTATGTATTTGCAACAACAGGTATCTAAAGAATTTAGAATTATCTAAAGAGTCTGGGCATGGTGGCTGTAATCCCAGTACTTTGGGAGGCTGAGGCGGGCACATCACTGGAGGCCAGGAGTTGGAGACCAGCCTGGCTAACATGGCAAAACCGTTTCTACTAAAAATACAAAAATCAGCCGGGCATGGTGATGCACGCCTGTAATCCCAGCTACTTGGGAGGCTGAGACATGAAAATCACTTATACCCTGGGGGTGGAGGTTGCAATGAGCCAAGATTGTGCCACTGCACTCCAGCCTGGAGGACTCTGTCTCAAAAAAAAAAAAAAAAGGTTTTTTCGTTGACCAACTGTTCTTACCTTCTTTTTCTTAATTTCTTTCCTTGTAAAAGTTGAAACTGACATGAGAGTTTAGGCAGCAGCCTTGGGAAGATCAAACTCTTCCTTCTTCACACCCTCAAATGCCATCCTCTCCTCTGTCTTTAAAGACATTCTGCAGGGTGAGTCTTCCTCTGCAGCAATCCCAGGGCACAGGTGCTGGTGCCCACGGTGCTCCCTCTGCTGCCTCCACTCTATCCTCAATGCATGATGCACAGAGCATTTAAAAAGCCCTGCATCCTAGGGCCAGGTGCGGTGGCTCACGCCTGTAATCCCAACACTTTGAGAGGCCAAGGTGGGTGGATCACCTGAGGTCAGGAGTTTGGGACCAGCCTGGCCAACATGGTGAAACCCCGTCTCTACTAAAAACACAAAAATTAGCCAGGCATGGTGGTGTGCACCTGTAATCCCAGCTACTTGGGAGGCTGAGGCAGGAGAATTGCTTGAATCTGGGAAGCGGAGGTTGCAGTGAGCTGAGATCACACCACTGTACTCCATCCAGCCTGGGCAATAGAGCAAGACTCTCTCTCAAAAAAAAAAAAAAAAAAAAGGTTGTGCATCCCAGATTTAAAAACCCTATGGTGTTTGTAATCATAAAATCCTGGAGAAAATATTCATCAAGAGGTGAATGGATAAGTTGTAAGTTCCATGGATATATTTAGTGGGATACTAGACAGCAGTTACAAATGAATGCACCAGAGCTATAACATCAACACGACTGTATCTCAAAAATAGTAACAAAAAAGCAAGTTGCACAACGACATCATTTAAGAAAATATAAAAGCCGCAAAATACGTAGGTTGCATCTTTGAAATTTTCATCAATGATGTCATTTATGATATGGAGCAATGACAAAATGCTAAGATTAATTAGTTCTTGGTGGTGGGTCCACAGATATTTGTTCCATCATTCTTTGTTCTTTGGTGTATTGTATGCACACAAAATGCACCCCCATGCGCACACACATCCTTATGGGGACAGCATGCATTTTCCTGCGGAGAGGGAGACGCTGCCTTGCCCAGCACAGGAGAAAACGCCATGGAAGTCAGGACCTCACCTGTGATCAGACGCTTGTAGCTCCGCACGACCATAATACTGCAGGGCACCAGGAGACCAGGTGTGTCTGACTTTGGTGTCAACATCTAGATCACTGTCTAGAAGGTTGAGTTCTCCAGCTACTCGCAGGGGTTCCATTCGAGAGACCCATATAGAATCGAGTCAATATCCAAGAATGCGATCATGACACTTCCACAATAGAGGTCTGCGCCACGAACCACCCCACGTCCCAGACTCATCCTCCTTACTCCTCCACCTTGAAGCCAGGCTTCGGATGCTTTGGGGCCTTTGGTTAAAAACATTCCTCGCATATAATTATTCAAAACAGTCATGACCATGCCTGCAGTCCTCGCCAGCATGCCCACTGTAGGCTTGAGACACAGTGTTGCTGCCGGGTTTCCAGGACCCAGGAATCCCAGAAGGTTGGCAGCAATTGGTATGGTAAGAGCTGCAGGAGCTGAGAACACTCGGACTCATTCTAGGCCCCACCTCTCAGAGCGCTGGGGCCACACAGGCGTTCACAAACTCATCTAGAGGAAAATTTGTATTTTCTTTTCACAGATGCAATTTCCTGGCTATGCTCTCCCAAAATGTGTAATTAGGTTTTTTTTTTTTTTTTTTTTTTTTTTTTTATGTACTAGTTACAGATATTCTAACTTTAAATAAACTTCACTTCCTAGCTGGGCATCAACAGTTGTTCAAAACATACTTGACAACTAATGATTTTTAAAAACTAACTTATTTTTACTGTGTCTTGCTCGTGTCCAATTTGGAATTAGGGCTTTAAGCAGGTAAAAGTGTAGCTGAACAAAATAGGCTGGATAAAGAACATGAGGGGGAGCATGGGGGGCAGGGAGGGAGGCAACCTCATGCTCCCCGCTTTCCCCACCCAGAAAAAAGAGGTGGGGGTGTGGGGGGGAGCTGTGATGCAGGGGCAGCCAGGAGCAGACCTATTTGCAGGTCACTGTCTCTAGAAAGAGACCAGAGGAGGCCAGGCGCAGTGGCTTATGCCTGTAATCCCAGCACTTTGGGAGGCCGAGGTGGGCAGATCACCTGAGGTTGGGAGTTCAAGACCAGCCTGACCAACATGGAGAAACCCCGTCTCTACTAAAAATACAAAATTAGCTGGGCATGGTGGTGCATGCCTGTAATCCCAGCACTCAGGAGGCTGAGGCAGGAGAATGGCTTGAACCCAGGAGGTGGAGGTTGTGGTGAGCCAAGATCACGCCATTGCACTCCAGCCTAGGCAACAAGAGTGAAACTCTGTCTCAAAAAAAAAAAAGAAAAGAAAAGGGAAAAAAAGAGGCCAGAAGCAGAGGCTCCCTGAAAGCACAACTTCCAAAGCTTAGGGGTTAAGGTCTGGGATGACTTTTGTGTCATCTGGGGTTATGAAGAAACTGATTTATGTAGCAGCGCCTGGGGTTGGGTAAACGTGACTCTCCCTCCGTCGCATTTCTTATTCACCCTCTGCCGACTCTCGAACGGGCACGGCCCCCTCACCTGTTTTATCAAAGGGATGTTTCTTCCTCCACCACAGCACCCTGTCTGTCCAGGCGGGGGTGCGGCATTTGTCGCTTGTATCGTAGGCGGCTGAGCCAACGTCATACTTGTAGGTGGGTCCAAAGTTAATGGCTCCTTCGTGAAAGTCCTTAAAAATCTATTGGGAGAAAAAGAAGTCATCAGGCCACCGTAGTTTTCGATCCTGAATGTTATATACAAAAACGAAAACTGAAAAGGCAAGTCCCTATTCTTAAAAAGTAACAGAAGCTCCATTACATTTGAAAATCTATCTGAAACTGGACATATGTGTCTTTTAATTAGCAAAAAAGTGATCCTCAGCTCATCCCACTGAGGGACACACCGCCCTCGTATCTATCTCCCCACCCACTCCAGTGTCTGATCTATCCACTGTCTTCTTGTTGCCCCCCAGGAGACAGTGCAGGGTCCGAGGCACGGGTCAGGGGTGCTCATCTTTACAGTCCCATGCCTGGTGCCATGTCTGGCCCACAACCCCGAGGCCTTCATCTATGTTTGTTGACTAAATGAGCTAAGTACATAGAAGCGCAGAGTGAAAGTCAGCTCTCCTCTCTCTCTCCCCCTGGGGTCTCGCTCTTTTGCTCAGGCTGGAATACAGTGGTGCAATCACGGCTCCCTACAGCTTCAACCTCTGGGGCTCATGTGATCCTCCTGCCTCAGCCTCCCAAGTAGCTGGGACTACAGGCACGCACCATCATGCCTGGCTAATTTTAGTTTTTGTAGAGACAAAGTCTCCCTATGTTTCCCAGGCTGGTCTCAAACTCCTGGGCTTAGGCAATCCTCCCGCCTTACAGTCGTGAGCCCCCATGCACATCCTTCTTTTCTTTGTTTAACTTTGGATTGGCCTTGCTTCCATGGGAAGACCAAGGGACAAACACACCCTCATTCTCTTGGGCATCACTGAGAGGATGTGAGAATGTTGGTAGTAGGAAGACAGGAAAACCTGCTTTAGGAGGTTGGTATGGTCACTCGTCCATGTGGCAACCCTTTAGCACTCCACACACTGGAAGGGGCTCAAGTGGGAAGACACAGTAAACCTCGAAGAACGTCCAAATCTTGCTTCAGGAGAGACCTTATCTGCCCTGTCCTCACACTTTTTTTTTTTTTGAGACGGAGTTTTGCTCGTTGCCCAAGCTGGAGTGCAGTGGTGCGATCTCGGCTCACTGCAACTTCCGCCTCCCAGGTTCAAGCGATTCTCCTGCCTCAGTCTCCTGAGTAGCTGGGATTACAGGCGCCTGCCACCATACCCAGGTAATTTTTGGATTTTTAGTAGAGATGGGGTTTCACCAAGTTGGCCAGGCTGGTCTTGAACTCCTGACCTCAGGTGATCCGCACGCCTCGGCCTCCCAAAGTGTTGGGATTACAGGCAAGAGCCACCGCACCTGGCCCTCACACATTTAACCAGCTTCTTTCTCCACAGCTAAATGGAATTTAAATGTACTCCCCTCATCTCAGCTCATCCTGCTAGGAAGCAAACAGGCACTAAAATAACAGTATTAGAAGGAGGAGAAGGTTGACCGGGCATGGTGGCTCATGCCTGTAATCCCAGCACTTTGGGAGGCTGAGGCGCACAGATCACCTGAGGCCAGGAGTTCGAGACCAGCCTGGCCAACATGGTGAAAACCCGTCTCTACTAAAAATACAAAAATTAGCCAGGTGTGGCGGCACACGCCTGTAATCGCAGCTACTCGGGAGGCTGAGGCACAAGAATTGCTTGAACCCAGGAAGGTGGAGGTTGCAGTGAGCCAAGATAGTGCCACTGCACTCCAACCTGGGTGACTGAACAAGACTCTGCCTCAGGAAAAAAAAAAAAAAAAAAAAAAGGACAGGAAGTGTGTATGAACAGCCACTCCTGTACTGTAACCTCACAAGCCCACCTATTTTCTACAATGTTGGAAACAGTGAAATCCACTCACGGAACTGAATTTGCTGCACCAGCCTCTACATCTCACAGATGTCATTCCATCTTGGAGCAGCTGCTAAAAAATGTTTTTAAAGCACAACTTACTTTTCCACTTGATTTCTGTAGCTGTAGTTGATCAAATTCCAGAAGTTTCTTCCAGTCTTGGCGTTTAACAAAATAGAAGACTTCTTCATAAGTAAGATCAATGCGGTAGTTGAAATCGCCACACCAAAATACATAATCATGAGAAAAAACATTTCTCCCCTAAGTTGAAAAGAAAATCATAATCATTCAGCCCATCTTGCAAGGAAGGTGGGAGAGAGGAGAAAAACAAGCTCACTGGGGCAAGCAGGAGTATTTTTCTCAAAATGCTACTTAGAAAAAAGAAAGTTTTCTACTAGAGCATCTTGTTTTTCACTCATCCCATAAAACTATGGAGGAATTTTTACATGGCTTACTTTTTAATTTTAAATAATAGTGTTTCTGAGTGGTTTGAAGAAAGCTCCTACCCTAAACGGAGGAGAGCAACATGGCCAGCATTTCCTCCATGGATCCCCGTCCTGAAGATCAGATGCACCCTTACTTTGGAGTGTCTACTCCTAGGAAGCAGCACCCAGCATTCAGCGTTAGGAGAATGAGGTTTCAAAAGAGCAGCAGAAATGCTCAGGATGTGCACCTTCATGTAACTTCCTGAGCTTTTTCAGGTGACCCTTCTCCATCTCTCTCTAGCTCCTCCTTCCCATCCTGCCCAGTCCTAGGAGCCCACGGCCCCAGCTCAGCCCCGGAGAGCTCCTGGGGTCCTTGCCTTCCCTGTCTCTTCCCCAGGAATGGGGAAGACAATGACAGCAGCTGCTGTGGATCAACTGTCCGCAAGGGCTGGGCTCTGTTCCAGGTGCACAAAGCAGATACCACCAGCTCTCTCTTAGATTAAAAAAAAAAAAACAAAGTTCAGAAACAAAGGCACTTGCTGAAGGTTACACAGCTAGTGCATGATACAGATGGGATTTCAGCTCCCATCTGCCTAGCTCCAAAATCAGCTTCTCTTCTCCTATAATATGAGGCATTTCCACTCCCCCCATGACAATAATCTGGACAGAAGATTAAACAGGTCCCAACCAAATAAAATGAGCGTCTAGATAACACTGTCAGACAGAACTTTCTGCAGCACCGAAATGTTCTCTGTGCCATCTGATGCAGGAGCCACTGGCCACATGGATACTGATCATTCTCACTGTGGCCAGGGAAAGCAAGGAATTTTAAATGTTATTTAATTTTAATTAATTTGAATTTAAATAGCTACTTATGGCCAGTGACTACGGTATCAGACAATACCAGTGTAGAATGTTGGCCAGGCACCATGGCTCACACCTGTAATCCCAGCACTTTGGGAGGCTGAGGCAGGCGGATCACTTGATGTCAGGAGTTCGAGACCAGCTGGGCCAACATGGCGAAACCCCATCTCTACTAAAAATACAAAAACTAGTTGGGCCTGGTGGTGCACGCCTGTAATCCCAATTACTCAGGAGGCTGAGCCAGGAGAATTGCTTGAACCTGGGAGGTGGAGTTTGCAGTGAGCCAAGATCATGTCACTGCACTCCAGCCTGGGTGGCAGAGTGAGACTGTCTCAAAAAACAAAAACAAAAAAGAAGTGTAGAATGTTAATAGGTCCCTCAATATTTTTATGGTAGAAAAGAACTACATTATAAATCCTTTAATTACTTATTATGTATCCCAAGTTTACTATGTCAAAGTAGCACTTTTTTTTTTTTTTTTTTAGACAGAGTCTCGCTCTGTTGCCGAGGCTGGAGTGTAGTGGTGCGATCTCAGCTCACTGCAACCTCTGCCTCCTGGGTTGCGATTCTCCTGTCTCAGCCTCCTGAGTAGCTGGGATTACAGGTGCACGCCACCACGCCTGGCTAATTTTTTTTGTATTTTCAGTAGAGGTGGGGTTTCACCACGTTGGCCAGGCTGGTCTCGAACTCCTGACCTCAGGTGATCTGCCCGCCTCGGCCTCCCAAAGTGCTGGGATTACAGGTGTGAGCCACTGTGCCTGGCCCCAAAGTAGCTATTTTTAAGTGAGAAGGGTTAGACTTTTTTTTTTTTTTTAAACTGCATTACACACAATTGAAAATTTCCCAACTCGTTTGTTTCTTTTTTAACATAAGAAATAAACAACACCAACAGGAATTATGGCACTTCTTAATGAAAACTAAGGAAATTTTGCCTTGAGTGCTCGTGCAGCCCAGTAAAATGGGACGTCAGTTTTAAGGATCTGTTCTCACAGGGAAGAGCTCTGTGACCCAACCCACCACCTCTCAGACAGTGGAAGATTTTGCAGCAAGAACAGCTGAAGTCTATCCTCACTTCGGGAAAGAGGTGGCCTCGTGTGCACCACACGCTGAAGCTGTGCCCGGGTAGCATCTTTGCACAGGAAGGAGAACATTAACGTCTAGATTTGAAAAGAAAATCCTCCAGTTTCAGAATGAAACCCTCCGGACCGCCACGAGAGGGCAGTGTGCGGTTCGCTATTGCAGCTTCGAGGACAGGCAGGATCTGGGCTCCTTGGTCAAGAACCGTGTTCCCAGTCAAAAAGGGTCCATTGGTCAAAAGGGTGTGCTTATCTGAGCCACCACAGAAAGTACATGTGAAGACTGTGAATCTCAGGAAGGTGGAGTCTTAGGCTGTGTGGATTCAAATGCTCTTCACCACTTGGACAGGACAGACCACGGACATGGTTTTCTTCCCTAAACCATCACTTGAATTAGAAAATCAGAAAATGCACACATACAAATCCAGTGGCCATGCAGACACTCAGGAATTGTACAGCAACGGGAAATGCTGCAAAGCTGGCCCCCTCCAGGCACGTGGCTAACCCTGCCCCAGGTCAATTCCATGGAGGGACATAGCCCTCTCCCCCTCCCCCAGCGCTGAGCCCTCCAGGAAGGGGCCCTCCCTGTGGTTGTGTCCCCAGTGCCTGGCTCCTATCAACAGTCACATTTGGGACTGAGCTGAGCAGGGAGGTGCTGGCTGTCCCCACGGCGCCGCTCACCATTGGGAAGCAGAGTTTCTGGGTGATCTCCTTGTAGTCTTCATTCCGCTCCTTCACCTGGGACTGCCCGGCCGTCAGGTGACTACATATGAAGCAGAAGCTGGTGCTGTGGAACTGGAAGCGGATGCCGACGGCGCCCTTGTTCCCCGCCTTGCCCCCCATGCCCGTCTTCACTGTGTCGATGGCTACGTCCCTGGAACAGAAGGATACGCGCATGCCGTCGGCTCCTGAAGGAGAAGTGTGACCCTGCTTTGCCACAGAGAAGGGCCCAGCAGCAGCTCGGGACCTGCTGCTCTGAGTGCTCCAAAATCATCAGCTCAACACAGTGGCCACCGTGGCCGTCATCGACTCCTGGTCAGGAGGCCGCCTCCCTCCTGCTGCCCACCGCTGCCTGGACATCTCCCCCACACCCCAACTGGGAAGTGCTCACTTGAGCACCCCATGAAGCCGAAGACAGGGCAATGCCTGCATCCGCCCAGGTTCTCACTGCCACCAGGAGCGGCGCAAACATCACCACCCACCAGCCCACCCCACTCCTGTGCAGCCATCACGCCATGCATGGGAGGTGTCATCTGGGCAATCAACACATTTTTAAATTATTATTGTTATTTTGAGACAGAGTCTCGCTCTGTCACCCTGGCTGGAGTGCAGCAGCGTGATCTCAGCTCACTGCAACTGTGGCCTCCCAGGTTCAAGCAATTCTCCTGCCTCAGCCTCCTGAGTAGCTGGGATTACAGGTACCCACCATCACGCCCGGCTAATTTTTGTATTTTTAGTAGAGGCAGGGTTTCACCATGTTGGCCAGGCTGGTCTCAAACTCCTCACCTCAAGTGATCTGCCTGCCTTGGCCTCCCAAAGTGCTGGGATTACAGGCGTGAGACACCGTGCCCAGCAATCAATGCACTTTAAGAGCTAGGAAACGGGCAGCTGTTTATGCTGGGCTGGGTAGATGGTCTCAAAAGGACTTTTATGCAATGCCAGAGCCTGCTTGCATTCAAATGCCCACTTATGACGCATACGAGTCCATAGAAACATGGGCTGCAAGCACATTTGTTAACATTTCCACAGCCATGCCACAGACTGAGGCCTGCTGGTGCATCTGCTCGCTGGCAGACAAGGTTGGGGGGATGACTGATGGAAGGGGTGTAGGCGGAAGCAGCTCAGGGCTAAAGGCACGTGAAGCCGAGGACACCGAGCCTGGGAAACCTGGCTCTCCTCAGCTCTGAGCCCTTTCTCAAATGCTTTACCTCTCACCCTCACCCCGCCCTTGCCTTTAACCTTTACTAACCTTCACCTGCTAACCTAGGACACTGCCAAGCTGCCCAAATAACACAAGCAGAGGGACAGGGACCTAAACATCTTCTGAAAGTCAGAGAAGAGGATTATGGGCAGCATAGTCTTAGTCTCCAGGTGCTGCAGGGGTGTACCCGTGGTGCTCTTGGCAGGCACAGGCCCTTCCCGGGACCCAGGGGCTCAGTGGGGAGGTCAGTTCAACGCCTGCTGCCAGCTCGCCGAAAGGCTGGTGGAAATTCAAAAGCCATGGGTAGGCCCAGGTGGTAAGATGAGGCCAACCACAAGCTGGGGAAAAGATGAGTTCCTCCAGCATCCAAACACCCACACCCACACCCCAAGAGGAATGCCGCCCCTAAGCTCGCCCCCTTTCTGATGCTCACAAAGCATGCACCTTGGAGAAATGACAATGAGGTCACAGTTGTAGAGGCCCACACGTTCTACTTAGAATTCTTTTAAAAAGGGACAAAAGAGTTGGCATTTCCCAGTGAGTTACTCAGCTCTTGGTCAGAGGTTTCCTGTCTATAAGATTCCAACAAGGAACCCTTTTCCTTGCACGGAATTGAGCTTGGGCGATGACAATCATGTAACACCCTTTCTAAGAGTTCAGCTTCCTGAGTTAGACATTTCCCATGGTGGCTTTTTAATCGCTAGACAATATTCTATTCAGCCCAGTTTTTCCTAGGGGGTTTTGCTACATTTATCTAAAATAATGGTAAGTCCCGATTCCTGTTACAGAAGGGGATGGGGGAGGAGGGGGAAGTCAAAGAACAAAACACAAAGACTAACAACCCCTTGTTCCCCAGATGTGTGTAAACAGAATGTTCTTACCTGATGAACGGGACATGGTATGGACGTACAAAGATATAAAGACAGACGCCCACCAGCTGTGCCGAAGTCAACAGAATGTATCTATGAGAGCGTGAGATGGCTTTCTGAAGCTGTTCACCCCACATCTTCTTGTTGGTAGTACTGGAAGAGAAAAGGAAAGGATGCTGTTTACAGGTAGCTGGAAGTACATCTATCTCCCACCTACCAAATGCTCCAGCCCAAGCCTATTCTGTTTGCAGAACTGATTTCACGCTGCCCGCACCCCAATATTAGTGTCATGCTTTCCTTCTTCTACTGGAGGATCTGCGTGTTTTTGGCTATGCCTCACACATCACAGCAGCCCTCCCTTGACCCCTGAAACCCAACCCAGGACCTTCTCATAGCAGCCCCACAGAGTCAGTCTTATTTATTTGTTCAGAAAGTTCCTTAAAATAAAGCCAGGCCAGTTCAGCAGGGGGTGGGGGGAGCGCCCAGTTGACTTCATATCAAATAAAAATCCAGTGGTTTTGATTTTTTCCTTTGCCCTGGTGTGCAGGAAGAAAGTACCTCTTCCCGGCACTCACACTTTCTCACCTCTCCCCAGGAAACATGAGTCAACTACTCTCCCAGTCCCAGCCCCGCCCTTCCCCTGCACCCCAGGTCCACACATGCCAGCTCCCTCTGGCAGCATAAATTAGCCTCAACAAGTGGCCGAGGCCAGAGCACTGCAAAGAAAACACAGCAATCATCAGCCCTTCCTTTTACTTCCTAAGTGGCAGGGAAAGAACGGGGTGGTGCATGTGTGAGCATAGAGAAGGAGCCAGGTGAGAGATCCCCACACAGCCAGGGCCACAGCTTAGCTGGCTCAGAAGCAGGCTGGCTCCCGGAGAGCCTCAGAGGCTCTGCTCCCAGCCAGGCACCTGACTCAGGAAGTCCCTGCCTGGCCCCGCACACCTGGCCCCTTACCTGGCATTGACAATATTCCCTGCGCTCAATTCCACCATCTCTTCAAACCCCACAGCAAATATGTCAGCTGGGCTGCTGTCATCTGGGGAGCAAGGCAAGAGATGACAGAAGTCAGAACCGCCAAGTCCCGCATTACGAGTTCATGGGGCTCCCCAGTGCCCTCTCCCGAGTCATGCTGTCCACTGCCTGAGTCCAACTCCAGGTGGCTACCATTGCTGCTGGGAACTGCCCCAGTGGAATCTGCTTCAGAAATGCCTGGCTTAAATGCAGCAGTGAGCCCAGAGGGGCCCTCCGTCCATTCTGTTCCCTTTGAACAGGGGAGGTCAGAATTTAATATAACCTTGTAGCCATTGACTGAATCTGTCCAGTCACGACCTCTGACACCCAGGCTCCTGAGCCACCAAGCCCAGTCATGGCTCCAGCTGCTGCAGAAAGTGAGAGGCCCACCTCCCCAGGGTCCAGCTAGGAGGACATGGCCTCTGTCAGCGAGAGGCCAGGCAGGCTGTCCACTTCCTTCTCTGTTGACCACAATGGGCAACCTGGAACCTCTAGTTTCCCTGACTTAAAGCTTTTTTTTTTTTTTTTTTTAAATAAAACAATCCCCGTCCCTCTGTCTGATCTGCTTGGCAATAGTAACCACAGCACTCCTTTCCTTCTCTGGAACCTGGTGTATCTCTAGTGGGACTGCTGGGGAGCCTGCTAGTGTCTACCCCAAAAAAATCCCCTGCAAAATACCAGCCAGCTTGCTAAAAACATGCACACCTTCCTGCAGGGAAAAGAAGAGGAGTCACTTTCGTGGGGACTGGAGGGACGGCTCTTGAGCCACGGCTGTGCTAAGCACTCTCCGCGTTGATGGGCCTGCTCCGGAGGGCATCCTGAATGGCTTCTGGAGGCACCACAAGCAGCAACCCAGGCTACCACCGACACAGAGAGCCCCAGTGGCTCTGAATGGTGGACTCTGCCACCTGCCCTTGGAGGCAGAAAGGAGGGCACAGATGGCGTGTGCACAGGAAGGGATGGGGCTCTGGGTACTACCCAGGCAGCTGTGGGGCATGAATGTACACATGGGCCACTGCATGTCAGCTAGACCACAGGTCACTCACCAACAGGCAAAAACCTGAACCACAAGTTCCTGAGTCCAAGGAAGCAAAACAAAAAACAAACAAACAAAAAAACCAAGGCCCGAGTCAACGATGACTGGACAAGAATCATTTATTCTTCAGATCCTAAGTTCTGGGGCCATTCAATAGTGTATCTTACAAGATAAAAGGTGAGGTGTCAACATTTGGAATTATTTTATTCCTAAATAGCACATGAATTATTTTGTGACTACTTAAAGCAGATTAATAGAGTTGGTTTGGGGAGAGGCAGGGATGAGCTGTTCTTGGTCAATATCAACACTGAAGGCAGGGCCAGGCGCGGTGGCGCATGCCTGTAATCCCAGCACTTTGGGAGGCTGTGGCAGAGGGATCCCCTGAGGTCAGGAGTTCGAGACCAGCCTGGCCAACATGGCAAAACCCCATCTCTACTAAAAATACAAAAATTAGCTGGGCGTGGTGGTGGGCGCCTGTAATCCCAGCTACTCGAGAGGCTGAGGCAGGATAACTGCTTGAACCTTGGAGATGGAGGTTGCAGTGAGCCGAGATTGCGTCACTACACTCTAGCCTGGGTGACAAGAGTGAAACTTGTCTCAAAAAAACAAACAACAACAAAACAAAACAAAAAACAAAAACAAAACACCGAAGACAGGCTTGGCTCCCAACCTCACAGTTACATGGCCCTAGAAGCCACACCTTCCGACTGGTGACGAAAAGATTCTACTGATGAAAGCCTAAGACTTCACCATCACTGTATGCAAAGAGAAAAGAGAGATTCACCATCTGCTAACTCTTCTAAACATCTGGGAAAGGAAAAAGGTCAGTTACTTGCGAGGCAGCATTCTTGAGAGTCAGGCCATGGTGCTATTTAGACATTGTGAGGAGGGAAGACACCAAAGATGAAATTCCACAAGACGATGGCCACTAAAGGGTCAAGCGTGACATGTCAGGTTAGGTGCAATTGGATTTTGTCTCCCCCAAAGTCACTGCCCTCACCCTGGGAGTCGGTAGCTCCCGAGAGCTGGGGCGAGTCGAGCAGCCAGTCTGTCAGCTCCGCCGTCCTGAGCACGTTGCTCCGGAACTGCTTTCCTCCGTTCACGTTCCAGGTCCCCATAGCAATCCGGATCCGCTTGAAATTTGTGAATTCGGACTGACGCTCAGTCATAGCTTTCAGGATCCTGGGAGTCACTGTCAGGAGGCATAAAAAGGCACATTTCTTTGCAGTTCCAAAGCTCAGGCATCCTCCAAAAAGACAGATGAGGCTGCCTGGCAGAGACAGATGGTTCATGAGCCTCTAGAGATAAACCAGGGTATGCTCCTTACGAAGACGACAAAAGGCTTAAAACCACGGTCACCACGGGGCTTCCCTTATGGCATTTCTACAATAAAGGCGTGAAAACATAAGACTGGAAACTCACCGTCTATACCCCTACCCCCAACTGAAGCCAGAAGCCATGGGACATCAGACCATAGGGATCTCAGACACGACAGGGAAAAGCCGTGTCCTCACTGTCCACTCCGTAGAAGAACAAGGCATAGGAATTTAAGCAAGGGCATGCTGTAACTGACCATATTTCATTGTGTATGCATCCATATACACTATAACTTTAAGTGTCTTACCAACCCAGACAGCCACCTTTGCATCCTCTGCCTTCCAGCCTGCATGTCTGATATGTTTTGTTTTGCCCCAGACTTAAGGCTTTAAAAAGTCACTACACAGAACCATCTCCATCCTCTAGATAGCCAAAATATATTCCACCTTTTAAACTTGTGATGTAAACCAAATCTAACTCATGTCTGCCTTGCTATTAAATAAGACTCACTGTACAACATGGAGCTTTGTTCACCTTTTACAGAGCTGGCACTGTTTCCAGAGTAGAAACTAAATATCACCGTGCCTATCGGAAGCCAAATTAGAGCTCCCCCAGTGACGGTGACAGTGGAAAGGGCCGTGAACCCATTTTAAGCATGGGCTAGTTCATTTTTCAAAAACACCTGACATTTCTAAAGCGACACTTGTACATTCTTATAAGGAAAAATGCTGGGTTTCCCCTACTTTTCCATGAGACCTAATATGTTTACAGGCTCAGGTAAGAAGATGCCATTAAAATGCTCCCAAAGGAACCTCCTATATTGATGGAATCACGATGTCTTGCCGCTGAGACCAGAAGGTGCCCTCATCCCCAGGGGATGACAGCATCCTCCTTCTCTGTTTCCACAGGGTCCTCAGGGGCCAAGAGAGAAACTGGAGGCCAACTTCATGGGAAGCTCCCAAAGCCAACATCACCTGCTAAGGGCCCAAGAGCCCAGGCAGCTGAGGAAGTTTCTGGAGTAGGTTAGCATTCAAAGGCACCGATGCGTTTAGGAGAGTGCACGGCCTCTCCCTGAGCCCGCCTGGTGTCTCTCGCTTCTCAGGATGGAAACACAGTCCAAGCCGAGACAGAGGAAGCGTGAGCTCCCAGGCCCAGCAGGAAAGCGCAGGCTCCCGGGAGAGGCAGTGACAGCTGCAAGGTGCATGGTCCACTGCTCAGATCCCAGGCACCTCTGCCACCCGCTCTCTGGATAGCACAGAGGCGGTGGGAAAGTGGGGCTGGGGAGCACCCTACCTCCCTGCCTCGCCCTGTCTGCGGCAGGCCCTACCCAGGAGCGCCGTGCTGTCCAGCAGCATGCCCCCTTTGTCTGCCACCTCCTCGCCGTAGACGTCCCCAACCAGCAGCAGCTTGATGGCCTCCTGCTTCACCCCGTCGAAGAAGTTGGACTGGATGGTTCGAGACATGGACCGGGCTCCATCCTTCAGCTTCCCCACCTGCCGAGAGCCCAGACCGCAGGCCGTGAGGGGGGTCCCTGGGGCCCCCACCCTGCCCCCTCGGCGGGGCCCTACCTTGGCCTTCCCTTCCAGGGCTCTGCTGCCTGTGAACACCTTGCTCAGGCTGTGGCCATTCAGAGACCACATGGCTTTGAAGGACTCCACAAAGCGGTCAACGATGGGTTTTGAACTCAGCCCCAGGGTCTTGAGCTGCAGATGCAGGACCTGGGGAGGAATAAGGGATGGCTGTCACTGGCTTCTCCCACAGAGGCCCTGCAGCCACTGTCCCAGGAGGTTCCTTATTCGGCAGCCTGTGGATTACGCTGTGCCTGGAAGACTCTGTGCCCCTCCAGAGGATGAGGAGTTCCCACAGCAGAGAGTGACTTCCCACATCTCACCCCAACTTTATCTATAGGGTCCACCCAAGCCCTCCTCTCACCCCCTGACACTTGAACGCCCCTGCACCCCGCCCCGCCCCACCCAATGCCAGAGGCTGAAGAGCAAACAGTGGTGGACAGCAGGGGGTGCTGACCCTACCCCCGACCCCCCAGCCAGGAGAGGTCAACCAGGCAGCTGGGGCCATGCAGACAGAGGTCTCCCTCCCCAGCTTCAAATCCAGCCTCATCCGGCCAGCCTCACACTGCCTTTGGCCAATGGTGCATCCACGATAATCATTACACACAACCGCTGTTCCCGAGGAGCCTTTGGGCCACCATGTCTGGGATGCATTTCACAAGAGGGTGTGAGAAAGTGTGCCTACGACAGAGAAAGCAGCCTCCTGGGGAACCCCTCTCTGGATGTCCCAGTGTCTCCCTGTCCACCTTCCCCATAGTCAGAAGGTTGTCTTGGTGATGCCACCCTCATCTTGCCGCTAAAGGTGCTCAGCCCAGCCTGTCCAGCTGAAGTCACAGGACCTGGCACAGATGGCCGAAAAGGCTGTGGCAGGGACGCACCTCGAGCGCGATGAAGCTCTGCACAGTGTTGGTTCGGTCCAGGCAGTCAAGACAGTTCATCCGCAAAGTGCCTTTCTGAAAACTTAGGACAAGAAGAAATGTAAACGGTTATATGTTGTTTTCAAAGAAGCAGTGGCCATAGCACAGAGGCCCATGTCTGACTTTTGACTCCCAAGGAAACATGGTTTTTTTTTTTTTTTTTTTTTTTTTTTTGAGACAGAGTCTCACCTCTGTCACCCAAGCTGGAGTGCAATGGCATGATCTCGGCTCACTGCAACCTCCGCCTCCCAGGTTCAAGCGATTCTCCTGTCTCAGCCTTCCAAGTAGCTGGGACTACAGGTGCGTGCCATCACACCCGGCTAATTTTTGTATTTTTAGTACAGACGGTGTTTCACCACATTGGCCAGGCTAGTCTCGAACTCCTGACCTTGTGATCCGCCCACCTCAGCCTTCCAAAGTGCTGGGATTACAGGTGTGAGGAAACATGTTCTAAGAGGGAACCCCTCACCTCCTCATCAATAGCCCCCCAGAAACCCCAGTGTCCATCCCAGTGGATCCCCAGCACTTCTGGAAAGGCAGGCAGACCCCAGGACACACACTCAGTAGCCTGCACAGCTGGGTCGTTTTACGTTTAGCTGGTCCTTGTTATTTATAGCAATTATGTTCTATAAAGTTGTAGGAACACTGAATTGGACATGAACACAGAACCATCGCTCCTAGGGGAAATATAGGGTTAGGTTCCTGCAAACCTCTGGTCACATTTTTATCAACTGATCAATATACAACCTTGTTTTATGTATGTTTCCATATAAAGACACCTTATTGAATATATATATTTGCTTAATTAACACTGAACCATGGCCGACAGCACTGTAGCTCATATAGGGACAAAGCTTATCTTAACGTGCATTTTCTCCATAAAGCACATCACCACCTTCTTGTGCTCAGAAGTACTAGACAGCTCTTCGGCACACTGCTTGGGGCCATTCTAAACCATGAGATCCCCGAACAAAGGGGGGCCCCTAACAAAGACCCCACAAATGTGAAAAACATGGTACTAAATCTTAAAAAGGAAACTTGTTTAAATACGAGGCCAGAGTATTTAAATACTCTGTCCAGCAAAAATGCTTTGCATACTGATTTTGGGGTTACAAATCAGTTTTAAGGAATAGGTAAATAAGCCAATATGGAATCTGCAAATAATGAGGACCCCCTGCATGTGACCTGAGGGAACTGGACTTCGTTTTTCTCCTCTGCTCTGAACAGGGAAGTCCATACCCTGGTCTCCTCTAGCAATCTAAGTCTATGCCAGCCATCCCACCGCGACTGTGGCCCTCACTCTCACAGGCCTGCGTCACAGCGTGGAGCTCCATGTTTTAATGCAGTCCCCTTTATTAGTTCATTTCTTTTGCCAGAAAACCATGACTCAACATCTCCTTGAGAAATTCAAAAGCCTGTCTCCTACTGTGGGAAGGGAGATGAGAAGCTGGAACCCAAGATTCCCGGCGTCGCCAAGCTTATGACCCAGGAAACCACAAGGGTAACTGAGTGGGGAGGGAAGGAAGCTGCCCCTCATAGGGCACATGTCCTAGACTGCACGGCCCCTCTGCCGCCTCACCCAGCAGAAGGCACAGCACGCAGCGAGCCTCACCGTGGACTGACGCTTCCCCCCAGCAGAAGACGCGGCACAGTGCGCAGCGAGCCTCACCGTGGACTGACGTTCTCCCCCTTTGTGAACACATCGAAGTCTTCCCAGTGCAGCTTTAACTGTGGCCTCAAGAGGGTCTCCAATTTCTCTAGCTTCCCACCTTTGGCAAACTGATGGAAGTCAAAATTGATCATAGGCGTGTCGCCCGCGTGGCAAGAAGCCCAGAGCAGCTTCTGAAAAGAGGAGGGGAGGGCGGTGAGGGGAGCAGAGGGAAGGGAGGACGAGGAGGGCAAGCTCCTTGCAGAGCTTGACCCGTGCGGCTAACCAAGGTGACTCGCCGCAGGACGTGCTTTAGCTGGAAGCTCACAGTGGACCAGGCAGTTGACCCCAAAAGGGAAGCACAGGACAAAGGCCCTGGGGGGACAAAACCCACAAAGAGCGTCTTGCCTGCGAAAGGGCAGAAGGTCCCCCTTGAGCAAAAGAAGCCAGAGCAGGTGTGGCTTCCTGGAGAGATCATACTCCTGCAGGGCTCTCTGGAGGGCACAGGTGAGGAAGGACTGCTCTGTTCTTCAGGTGGCCCAGGTGCCCCAGGCCCTCAGAGATAGCAGTGCTGTGGCAGGCTGCAGAGCTCATAATCCAGCTCCCCGTTGCCCTAGTAACCGGCCCCATCCTGCCGCGCACCAGCCTCTGGTGGTTATGCTCTGAAGAGACCAAGTCTCCAGCTGAAGTGGCCCAGGTGGGTCCCACATCCCGATGCTACTTCAGGATGGTCAGGGAGCCAGAGTGAAGGTGGGGAGAGATGGGAAGCAGGTCAAGGGGCTGCTGATGGCACCAGGATGCCCTTAAGAGCCCTCCCTTCCATATGAGGCTTCCCTGGCCTGGCAGCTCCCTGGCTTTCTCCCCAGAGAGCCCCGTGATGAAGGACAAACTGTCCGCCTACCCAGGCCACCCGGCTTCCAGGCCTCTCACCCTGCACTCATGCCCTTGTGGCTTCAGGTCAGGCCAGTCCAGCCTCTGCCCAGCCAGAGGTCCTAGTGACTTGGAAGGACTAGAAGGACTTGGGGGTCATCTGATCTGACTCAACGTGACTGCCTGTGATAGGTCTGAGTGTAAATCAATGCAGTGCTGCCATCATCAAGCAAGTCTTGCTGTGAGCAAGAAGCTGGAGGAGCCCAACAGTGCCTGGTGGCTCAGTGCCATGCATTCCACAGCCAGTGCTTCATCCAGCAGGACTGATGGCCATTGGGCCCTGGGCAGGCTGCTGGGCCACCAACCTTGGTCTGGGCCAAGCTGAGGTGGCTGAGGGCCACCCCAGGCAGGGCCATGACCCAGGTCTTCAGCTAGAGTGCCCCTCCCTACCTGGCCAGGAGCCCACCCTTCTCCGCATGAGGTGGCTGCCATCTCCCGCCCTCACCAGTGCCGGGCACTTCACCCACTGATGGGAGGGGCCACAACTCAAGGCATAGGGGAAAAGGACTTGGGGTTCTTATTATTATTCTTATTTTTTAGCTTTTTCCCTTCTTCCTTCAAATTAGCAGCCAGCATCACTGCCAAGATGGGTGGGAAGGGAGACACTTCTGGAGCTCGTTGCTAATAGCAACAAACCAAACAGGAAAAGCAGGTCTGGCCAAATAAAATTGGCAACCAGGAAGTGCCTGCTCTGAGCATGAGCATGTGGCATTTCTAAGCAGAGGGAAAGGCTCAGAGATCGCCCTAACCCCCAGTGAGGCGACTTCGAGCTCTCTCTGTAAGGGATATCTTTGAGCTTTAAACAACGAGAGAGTTTTTCTCTATTAGGCAGGGGACATGGAGGCTGGTAAAGGAACCAGGAGCCCCCTTGGCTCATTCTGGAACGTCTTGCGCCTGGGGAGCAGGGGGCGGGGGCTGGAGGCCTGGGATCCATGCACAGGGATGGAACCTGGCCAGGTGGGCGGAGTCTCTTGCTCCCATGGCTCTGTGACCCTGCCCAGGATCTGTCCAGGATCGCCAGGAAAAGCCCCCCAAGGAAGTCTGAAGGAGCCCACAGGAGCCCAGCAGCAGCAGGTCCAGGAGCTGCCATGAAAGCCCGAGGAAGAGGGGGAAATTTGAAGGCCAGCCGGCAAGCAGGGGAAAGCCACCGAAGTTCCTGCTCCTGAGCCCTGAGGCCGGGTGCCCTGTGGGGCTGGGGGAACTCACCCAGGACCAGCCAGGGCAGAAAGGGAGGCCTGCCTGCTCCTGGGCTGGACTGAGAGGGGTACCTTGAGAGGTCAGAAGCCCTCAAAGCCCCATGGGGAGGGAGGGTAAGGGACACATGGCTGGGGACAGGAGATGCTCTGTTTTGACTTTGAGCAAATTCTCCCAACCATCAGCTCACAGAAATTACACTCACTAGGCCGGGCGCGGTGGCTCACGCCTGCAATCCCAGCACTTTGGGAGGCCGAGGCGGGTGGATCACCTGAGGTCAGGAGTTCTTGACCAACCTGAACAACATGGTGAAACCCCGTCTCTACTAAAAATACAAAAATTAGCCAGGCGTGGTGGCAAGTGCCTGTAATCCCAGCTACTTGGGAGGCTGAGGGAGGAGAATCGCTTGTACCTGGGAGGCAGAGGTTGCAGTGAGCTGAGATTGCACCACTGCACTCCAGCCTGAGCGACAAGAGCCAAACTCTGTCTTAAAAAAAAAAAAAAAGAAAAGAAATTACACTCACTGTATCAGGGCCCGAGTCACTGAGCACTGCCGTGTTCACTGGTCGGAATGCTGGGGAAGCCTCAGGAAACGAAGGAGGGCTGGGCTGTCAGCTCCAGTCCCTGCAGGAGCCACCTCCAGGCTCAACGCTCCACCATGGCCACCTGCCGCCCAGCCCAGCTGTGGAGAGGACAGCCTGGCCTTACCTTGAAGGCTCTGTTGAGCACCTCCTCTCCGCCTCTGCTTCCCAGAAGGTTCACGACCACCTGCTGCCCGTACTGCTCCTTCAGAAGCACCATGTGCCTGCAAAGGCAGCGGGGTGGGCGTGATGCTGGGCACGGGCACAGGTGCAGACTCTGCCCTGTTCTGCCCCTCAAGGGAAGACGGGGCAGGAGTCATGCTTTCTTAGTGCCACAGTCCAGGACCAGCTGTCCCCCATGACCCAAATCGTGGAAAATGAGCCTGGGTGGAGAGAACCTGCACCTCCCAGCTGCCATTACTACTAGCTAGCGTAGACTTCTACATTTGTTTGGAATCAGACAAAGGATATGCTGCACTTTCTATAAAGCACCTCCCATTATATCTAGAACACCTAACCTGAACTTTCATCAAGAGAATTTTGTTTTTGAGACAGGATCTCAGTCTGTTGTCCAGGCTAGAGTGCAGTGGCACGATCATAGCTCACTGCTGCCTCAAACTCCTGGGCTCAAGCAATCCTCCCAACTCAGCCTCTCAAGTAATAGGGACTACAGGTACATGCCACCACATCTGGCTAATTTTTACTTATTTATTTTTCATAGAGACAGGGTCTTGCTATGTTGTCCAGGCTGGTCTCGAACTCCTGGCTTCAAGCAATCTTCCCACCTCAGCGTCCCAAAGTGTTGGGATTACAGGCATAAGCCACCGTGCCTGGGCTAGAGTCTTACACATGCAATGTGCACATGTGTGAAATGAATCTCTTATTTTGCTTGGTACCCACCCTTCTCAAAACTAGAACAACTGGCAGGAGAGCTCTCAACTCAGCATCCTGTTTTCAATCTAAGTGCTATATTGCATTATGCTAAACCACAACAAGGAGATACAACAAAACTTGCAGGCTTTGGAAAACATTCCTTGTATTGGAAGCTACTTTCTAAATATGTATGTTGAAATATTAGGGAGAGATTCCAATATTTATTCTTGATCACCAGCTTTTTAAAAGTAACCTTACATTTCAAATTTAAACATGTTGAAATGTAGTGCCTTAAACAAAACATAGGGAAATGATACAATGCAAAAAGCAGATGTCAAATTATCGTTTAATGGTGCAATCTTTATGCCTAAATATAGAAAAAACACTGGAAAAAAACACATGATGTCAAAAGTGGTAGAATTTTATATGATTCAAGTTCTTTTCTTCTTTAAACATCTTTCTCTTTTCCAAATTTCTGTAATGACACGTTTATGAGCGGAATTTTTTAAAGAGCTAATAATGATCATGAAAAAAATCATTTTTTTTCTTATGCAGTAAGAGAAAACATTCTCTTACTAACTTTAAGGGACAGTAGTAGAAAGACTATGGATTTTGAAGTGGGTAGTTTGAAGTTAGGCTTGCCTGCTGACTCCCTGGCCTAAGTTAAGGGTGAGCACCCTCCCGGGCTCCCGTCTCCACGTGCAGCTCCAGGCAGCCCTGGGGCGGGCTGTGTGTGGCTTCAGCCCTTGTGGGCTTTCTTTTGGGTCGGTCTGCCCAGAGAAGGTGCATCCCAGGCCTGGCTCTGACACGTGCAGGCTCTGCCCCTGGTGAGGGAGCCCACCGTGGCCACACATCCAAGCCACATCCCACAATGTGGCTCATCGGAAACAAGGCCCATTTCTGATCTCTTCCTGTCTCATTCCTGCCCCTTCTTCTCAACTGGTTCCAAAGCCCAGGGCCAGAAGGAAACTGTTATTACTCATTATTACTCACTATTCCTCATCATTACTCTATGCTGTCCCAACCCCAAACTCCCCTGATCAAATGATTCATCCCTTCTGAGCTGGCTCCTTCATCTATAAAGCAGGGCTACTTCCCCTCCTGCGGAGAATGGCGAGGAGGACTAAAAAGACGAGTGAAAGTGACAAGGACAGTGCTTGGTGTGTGGGACGTGGTTCCTCTTTCTTTCCCTTTATTGTAAAATGCTCGTTATTGGTGAGCTGAGAGGCCCTGCCGACCCAGGTAAGGGGACGCTGGCACCCAGGGCGTAAGGGAGCGCTGGCACCCAGGGTGTAAGGGGACGCTGGCACCAGCAGCAAGGTCGGCATCATACGGGCTTCTTCCTGGGTCACCCTGAGCATTGAGGCCTTTTTTTCACTTCCCCTGCCTACGGGTTACTGTCATAGGAAGCTACTTGGAAAACAGGAGTTTTTCGGGATACTGAGGAATCAGATTTCTATTTGGAAGCATCCTTCTCATCTTCAGGGAGGGACCAAGAGTTCAGCACACCCTGATGTGCACAGCAGCCGCCCGCAGAGCGGGGCGGGGAAGGAGAAGGGGTTCACTGTCCTGTGAGGAGAGACTGAGGCACCGCCCTGTGAAAGGTTAGCCCTTCCACCGAGACTCATCACCACACAGAGATGACAAGACCCCACTCAAGCAGCTGCAGCCAAAGTCCTGCTGCAAACAGCCCTCCTCAGATATGGAGCACATACAGCAAAGTGACAAGAGACCGCCTCGGCTAACAGGGGCACCCATGCAGCTCAGGCAAAGGAAAACAAGCATCCTCTGGGAAGAAAAACTATCTGTGTGAAGGTTTTGCGGGGGAAAGAAAGGATTTACTCTCAACCAAATCCATCAGAGAACCGCACGACTCTTGAGAGCGCAGTGATGTCCCAGAGAAGAGAATTGGGAAGCACCCAGGACAATGCACATGCCAGTCCAGGGACACCATCGAGGACCTGGGCAGCCTGCTTTCAGGGGGACCCTCATGGTGCCCCACTGCGGCCACTAGGCAGACATGTCACCTTATTTCCAAACGTTATCTCGAATGAGGGGAACATAGTCAGCAATGAACATGAGAGCAGCAGCACCTGCAAGGGAACGGGAGGGCTCCTGCCTCCAGCCCAGTGTCGTGGGTAAGAAGCATTACAGAAGAGACTTCCTGGACACAGTAGCTGCCTGTAGAAAGACTCACCCTTTCAGCAGCTTGTCCTGTGATTTGCAGAAGAGATCTAAGTGTACCCCTAGATTTAGGAATGCTTTCCAAGGGGCAAGGCAGCCTCTGGGGTGCTTGTGAGGAGAGAGAGGTCTCATTCTCTGTGGTACGTGCATCTCACACACCATGCATTACCAGGATTCTGAAAAATCTGCAGTCTATGCAAATGTGCTTCAACTAGATGTATGTATTTTTTAAGAAAGCTCCTAAACATAGGAGGGTTCCTGAAGCGAACCCAGCATGACCCTTCCCTCTTGTTTTGGGTCAGCTTCGGGTAGAATATTTTTGTTTTTTGTTTGTTTTGTTTTGAGATGGAGTCTCGCTCTGTCACCCAGGCGACTCCCTAAAATCTGAGCCACCAAGCTCAGCCAGGTAGAATTTCATTTTTGGTTTCATGTTCACTATTTCCTAAGACAATTTAGTATAGATGAATGTCAACTGAAAGAACTCCGCATGTAGAATGCTCAGGACATACTAATAATGCTTTGGAAAAGGCAATGGTCTTGTCTATACTTGATTAAATATCTCTTTAAAGAAAAGCGCATTACATGTCACACACTAATCAGGGGGTCACATCTGGGCTCATATGACAAGTGTTATGTTTAACAAGAGTATGAAAGCAAACTTAAAGTCTCAATAAAGCTTCAGGTAGAAGGACTCAAACACTTAACACATTACTTTCGAGAATTTTTACTATATTCACTAAGACAATTTTAAAATATTGAGTATTTAGATTAAATAAGCAAATCTTTTAAGAAGTTATTATTTCAAATACATATTACAAATAGCTCTGCTTTTCTTAAGCAAGCTGCAAAACAGTAAATGTGTTATGATCCAATTTGTGTATTTAAATACACACACACACACACACACACACACACACACATAAAATGCCAAAATTGTTTTCTAGAATGACATGTAAAAAACTACTAATAGTAAAATCTCTGAGAGTGGTAACTGGGAGTTAGGGTACTTTTATTTTTCACTTTATACTTTTCTATACTTATTTATTCTATACTATTTTAAAACAAAAAACAAACAGCTTCAAATACCCTATAATTTAGATGATCCCTTATTAACCAGGGCATAGAGATGAAGCCTCATTGCAAGAAACTGGTAAGATAAAATAATTATAAAGTGCTACCTGAACATTCATTAATTTACCTTCAGGAAACCTGAGAACAAAGTAAAAATCCCATTTTGTCATCTCCCTTCTTGCATAAAGGACCAAAGGGAAAGCAGCTTTAGATTCAGGGTTCAGGGTCCTCCCTTTCCCGTCGCACCCTCTCCCTTGTGTCTGATGGGAGGACGATGTCTAAGGATGACAATGACAGGCTTGGATGGTGTCAGACAATCCCTACCTGTCGAAAGCAGGGGCATTGGCTTCCAGGCCTCTGTGGAGTCTCAGATGATGGGAGCCAACCTAAAGCAAAGAGAAGTAACAACAGTGATTCTTCCTTCTCTGCAAACCAAGGAGGCCATGGTTTTTCCCATTCTCCTTCTTACTCCCAGCCAGGCTGCATGTGGCACCCACTAGGCCACCTCTGTGGTCTCTTCAGGGCTCAGGAAGGCTGAGCTCTCTGGATTCAGCTAACAGTGCTCCAAACTCAGGTCTAGGTGCCTCGAGTCTGGCTTTGCTGCTGCCCAGTCCTAACTGCAACATGACCATGTCTGCTGCAATTCTTCCACAGAAAGCAGATCCAGGGTAAGATGATGAGGCAGATGTCAGATCCTAAGCTCTCTGATAGCACAGAGGTCAGTGAAGCCAACTGTGGAGACAGAAACTGCTTCTCAGTCTCCTTTATGCCTTCAGGGACACTAATTTCCCCCTAAAATCTGAGTCATCCTAATGATCAAATTTGCCTTATTATTAATAGAACTATTTATTTAATACTCAACTTAGTTTTAGAAAATACATTTAAAATACATATTGTTGCTGGAGTCAGCTTAAAGGGGCTTTTGCTGGCCAAATCTGGGACAATCTGAACATCAAACTGTATGAGGACAGTAATGGATTTTAACCTGATGAATAAAATAGAAATTCATGAATCTATACTGATGATAACTAGATGGGTGAATAGATGGATGGATGGATGGATGGATGAATAGCTGGGTGGATGGGTAGGTGGGTGGATGGATGGATGAATGAATAGCTGAGTGGATGGATGGGTGGGTGGATGGATGAATAGCTGAGTGGATGGATGGATGGATGGATGGATGGATAGCTGAGTGGATGGATAGATGGGTGGATGGGTAGGTGGGTGGGTGAGTGGATGGATAGATGAATGGGTGAATGGATGGGTGGATGGCTGAATGGATGGATAATGGGTGGATGGATGAATGGGGGGATGGATGGATGGGTGAATAGATGGGCGACTGAATGGATAGATGGATGGGTGAATGGGGATGGATGGATGGGTGGGTGGATGGATGGATCAGTGGATGGATAGAAAGGTGGATAAGAGAATGGGTGGGTGGATGGATGGATCAGTGGATGCATCAGTAGATGGATAGGTGGGTGGATGGATGGACAGGTGAATGTGAGGATGGATGGATGGGTGGGTGAATGGGTAGATGAAAGATGGATGGATAGGTAAGTGGGTGAGTGGGTGGGTGGATGGGTGGGTGCATGGATGGGTGGATGGCTGGGTGGATTGATGGCTGGATGGCTGGATGGGTGGATGACTGGATGGATGGATGGATGACTGGCTGGATAGAGGGATGGGTGGATGGTGGGTAGACAAGTAGGTGGATAGGTGGATGGGTGGGTAGATAGGTGGACGATGAGTGGATAAGCAGGTGGGTGGGTGAATGAGTGGATGAATGGATGGGTTAATGGGTGACAGATGGGTGAATCAGTGTGCAGGTGGGTGGGTGTGTAGGTGGGTGAATGGGGAACAAGAGAGGGCTCTATAGTAGAATACCAAGTAATAAATTTGGAGGAAATCATTTAAAAATCATCATTTTACAACTGTCATAGTAAATAATTGTTCAGCAAAAATTATCTGTTGATGATAAATCTTAAGGGAAAGTTTAGTAAAAGGCAGGATACCAGCATGGTCTCAAAGTGTCTCCCATAGATTGCTGATTAGTTGGAAGGGAAAACATATTAACCGTAAGTGGAGAAACTGAATAGCACCTTGACTGGGTGACCAAAATTAACATCACTAATGAGTGGCAGATGGACACCGTGTGCCTCCAGATCTGGTACCCTGAGAAGGATACAGCATCATGTAGGTAGCATTCTGGTCAGGGATCCATACACTGAATGTGATTATAATGAAACACTAGGAAAATGTAAATGTAGGGACCCTCGACTTAACGGAAAAGAAGGCTTGCATTCTCCAAAAACATCAATGTTTTGAAAGACAGAAAGCCGAGGAACAGATGCAGATTAAAGACTAGAGACATGACCACAAAATGCAGTATGTGATGCTGGACTCAAGGCGGGAAAAGGTGCTTCAAAGGACATCACTGAGACAAGTGATCAATTTGGAATATTGCCTGCAGATGAGATTGAAGTACTTTGTCAATGTTAAATTTCCCAAATGTGTACCTATACTATATGTAGGAGAGTATATTTTGCACTTAAGTAAAGAGACACTGACATGGTTTGGATGTGTGTCCCTTCCAAATCTCACGTTAAAACGTGACCTCCAGTGTTGGAGGTGGGGCCTGGTGGGAGGTGTTTGGATCATATGGACAGATCCCTCATTAATAGCTTGGTGACAACCCCATGGTAATGAATGAGTTCTTGCTGGTTCACAGGAGAGCTAGTTGTTTAAAGGAACCTGCAACCTCCCTCTCCTTGCTCCCTCCCTCGTCATATGACACACTGGCTCCCCTTCCTCTTCCACCATGACTGTAAGCTTCCTGAGACCCTCCCCAGAAGCAGATGCTGGCACCATGCTTCCTGTATAGCCTGCATTACCATGAGCCAAATAAACCTCTTTCCTTTATAAATTACCCAGCCTCAGGTATTCCTTTACAGCAAGGCAAATGGACTAACACCAATGTGATATATGCAACCTACTTTCAAACGGTTCAAAAAATAATAACGTGTGTGGCAAAAGGTTAAAATTTAGTGAATCTGGGTGAAGGACATATGGGAGTTCCCTCTTGTTCTTAAATTTTTTCTGTAGGTCTGAAATTATTTCAAGAATAAGTAGTTAAAAATGCACTCTTTAGTTTTGCTTCTGTTTGAGTGTTGTAAAAGTAGTGTCAGCAGATTTATCTATGTTATGAGATGCAGCTATTATCATGCTTCATGTATCATTGTATAACTCAACACTGCAGGTGATACAACTGCCCCATCTCAGACTCAAGAAAAGCACCCATCTAGAGAACTGGTTTCTCAGCAATAGATTTAGAGATTCCTTGGAGAAGGTTTCCTTTTCTTTTCTTCTTATTCTTCTTCTTCTTTTTTTTTTCTTTGAGACAGGGTCTTACTCTGTTGCCCAGGCTGGAGTGCAGAGGTGCAATCACGGCTCACTGCAGCCTCAACCTCCCAGGTTCAAATGATCCTCCCACCTCAGCCTCCCAAGTTGCCGGGACTACAAGTGTACACTACAACACCTGGCTATTTTTTTTTTTTTTTGTATTTTTTGTAGAGATGGGGTTTCGCCATGCTGCCCACGTTGGTCTTGAACTCCCGGGCTCAAGTGATCCACCCACCTCGGCCTCTCAAAGTACTGAGATTACAGGCTTGAGCCATTGTGCCCAGCCAGGTTTTTTTTATATAAACAGTTCAACAAAGTCCCAAATCCCTTTTGGTCCTAAGACACTTTGGTCACAAGTGAAGTGAGTGCAAAATGAGGTATCTTGGCTGTTGGCTAATGGAGCTCCTAAGAAAGGCTCACCCCAAACCTGTGGGGTTTTTTTTTATTTTTTTGCTGCCTGTGTTACCTCTGTCCTTTATCCCCATGGCCATCAACACCTGGCTGAGGAAATCTCAGAAAATTTGAAAACTTTCATGGTCGCACTACCGAGAGGCCTGCTCCATCCTGCACCCTGAGGGAAGTCAGCGGGTCTGTGTACCCCTCAGCCACCCTATGAGAGGTCACCAGGGCTAAAACCCAAGAGAGGGGCTACCTGCTCTGTGTGGTCTGTCAGTCATCACAAGAAGTCTCCCCTGGCTTCAGCAATGAGCAGCAGCTGTTTATAGGATCATTCCCCATGGGAGCACAGTAAGAAGAGAATACAAGCTTGGCAGGCCAGGGCTGAGGAGCCTGGCTCTCCGTCGTGACAAGTTCTATTACTGGACATGTCTAACTGTCTCTCCCTGAGTCATAACCCAAAGCCTCTTCTTTTAATTAGGTAGAAACTGTTGCACAGATGACTGGACCTAGCAGGCTCCAATCCCCAGGCTCTATAGCTCCCCCGTTAACATATAAACTGCACTATCAGTCAGCAGTCCATTCCTCAGTTACTGAGCGCCCTCCGAGTCAACATGCCATTGGGTGTCATGGAAAGGTGGGAAAGGGATGGGAGACGCTGAATCCCCTGGCCTGGGTGATGACACCTAACCAGAACCCCCATGGAAAGACCCAGAAGCACTTCAAAGTTTCTAACAAACCTGCACAAGCGCAAATTAATTTGACAGAAACTATGCCCTTGAGTCCAGGGAACAGGCAGCAAAGCAGAGTGAAATGAGGCACCTGCCTTTGATGGGGTCCCCTCAACCACATCAGTGAGGACTCAGGGAATGTGGCAAGCAGACGGCATGCCCTGGAATCAGCTGCCCACAGCAGAAGGCACAGCCCGGACAGGGGCTGCAGCACATCTTTTCTGAGGCCTCAGGCTTGTCTTTTATCCTGGACTTAGACAAGCATTCCGTGTGGACAGGGCTGGGCCCAACTGTCACAGGCATGGTCAATATCCCCTGCAGTGGCTAGTCCAGTATCACTGCTGACAACAAACCTTTCTACCTCAGAGAACTAAGAAGTCAGTCGGGAGCACCACCCCCGGGTGAATGACCAGAGCAGGGAATGGGCAGAAGGGATCTGTTAAGTCTAGACCAGTGATTCTCAAAGTGTGGTCGTTGGACCTCCTCTGGGTGCTTGTTAGAAATGCGAAGTCCTGGGCCTACCCCAGATCTGCTGAGCCAGACTCTCCAGGGGTGGGGCCAGGAATCTGTGTTTTAACAAGCCCTCCAGGAGATTCCTATGCACACACGCTGAAGTTTGAGTGGTTCTGGTTTTGACTTATTTCTGGACTTGTTATGTTCCCTTTTGGCTTAGGTTACAAATGCCCATGAAGGGGTAGAAGGTACAGCAGGGAAGACAGCTCCAGGGGCCATGTGCATACCTGCAGAGGTGCATCCACACCTGTAGAGCTGCATGCACACCTGCAGAGCCCTGTCCACACCTGCAGAGCTGTGTCCATACCTGCAGAGCCGGGTGCACACCTGCAGAGCCACGTGCATACTGGTAGAGGCATGTCCCCACCTGCAGAGCTGCATGCATACCTGCAGAGCCACATGCATACCTGCAGAGCCGCAGGCATACCTGCAGAGCCATGTCCCCACCTGCAGAGCTGCGTGCATACCAGCAGAGGCATGTCGACACCTGCAGAGCCGTGTCCCCACCTGCAGAGCCACGTGCATACCTGCAGAGCCATGTCCCCACCTGCAGAGCCGTGTCCCCACCTGCAGAGCTGCATGCATACCAGCAGAGGCATGTCCATACCTGCAGAGCCTCAGGGACACCATGACCAGGCTCAGCTTGCCACAGCTGCTTCCCTGGGCTCAGGGCCTCAGGCTGGGTCCCTCCATCCCCTAAACAAGTTGTATTATTGGACTTGTCTAACCGCCTCTCCCTGAGTCATGACCCTAAGCTGCTTCTTTTAGGCAGGTGGAAAGGCAACACAGTGAGGCCTTGGGCAAAAGTGGAGGGGAGCTGGGCCTCATGTTCTCTCCGGAGCTCACCCTTCCTCCGTCACCCCGTGCATCCCTTTTGTCTGGGTTCCTTGGGCCTCATATCCTTCCTCCCCTCTGTCCTGCTCCAACACTGACCAGCATCCACCTTCTCTGGTGTCACCTAGTCCTGAGGTCACTGGGTGTCAGAAGCCACAGGCACGAGCTGCAGCTGAGGGCAGGGTCCACCACTGTCACTGCATTTTGTAGCTTCCCTTCTCCTCCACCCCGTCCTCCTCCCCTCTGGGCAAAGGGCCAGCTACTCTTATCTGGCCCCTAAAGTCATTAGTTCAATCCTATAGACCAGAGACTGAGGTTAGGTAGACAGCCATGAGGATAGTCGGGGTCTGGAGAACTCCTGGCTGTGGAAGTCACAGCAGAGTCTCGATCAGCACTCAAGAGGCCCAAGGATCGCAGACAGCACCTCCACACCTCTCCCCTGCACCCCACCACTCCTACCAGACTTAAGGTTACCCAAAAATCTCAGCTCAACGGCCTCCCATCTGGTGTCTTTCCCCTCCAAACTAACACTGCCTAGACTTCTGTCTAATTGTGTCTCTACCTCTTGCAGCCCTTTAGCAGTGTCCAGTGTGTGCTGGAGCCAGCTCCTGCAGGCTTGCAAGCCGACGGTGCACCCAGCTGGTCCCAACTCTGAGCTCAGTGATGTGGAGCCGTAGGTTGAAAGTGGCCACGATGGGAGAATTTACACCACAGCAATGGACAAATGCTACAAACCAAAGCTCCCTGCACCCAGTCTGACCCCAATAAAACTGGCTTGCCAGCACAGCACCGAGTGGTTCCCATACTTTTCTGCATGCTGGAGTCACCCATGGGTCTTCAAAAAGGACAGCTGCCTGGCTCCCGGCCCCAGATATTGTGACTTAATGTGTATGGTATCAACCTGGGTATCAGGATTTTTCAAGCTCCCCAGCAGAGTCTTCTGTGCAGCAAGGTTGGGGAGTACTGCTTGAGTAGCTGCTGGTATGGGATGCAAACTCCTCAGTGTAGCATCCACAGGCCCTTGACCCAGCCCTGCTCACCTCTCCTATCTCTCCTCCCATTCCCTTCATGCCCAGGACTTCAAGAAGCTACCCAGTGATGCTCCCTGATCACTGTGAACCCAAGGGTTACAACACCTGCACCCATTGTTCCCTCTGCAAGGGCTGCCTTCCTTGCCTGAGTGCTTCTTCCTCACCCCTCCCCAGTCTGGACCCTTGGGCAGCCCACCCCACACCCTCAGCCTGGGAGAGCTGCCCCCGGGGCCTCTCCCTTCCTCCAACACGGCTCTGTCCACACAACACTGCCCTGTCCTGCCCCCTGCTCCCTGAAGGTAGGGACTGTATCTGATCCCTGGTGCCCCCTACACCTGGCAGACGCTCAGTGAATGTTTGGGATGAATAAATGGCTTCATCTGGGGTTACTGATTTACGATGAGTCTATGAGGGATGAGAGATAAGACTGACCAGGAAGCTGTCTTCATGTTACTACATCTCACGGTGTCCCTGTTCCCACAAAGACAGGAGGAAACTCTCATTCAGTGCTCACGGCACCAAGAGCCATGCTTCTCCGGATGCCACCATTGGTTTTATCTCCTGGGTGTTATCATTTGTTTCTATTAGTATCAATAGCAGCTGCCATTTTGAGTACTTTTTAGATTCTAGATACTGTGTGTTTTTTTTTTTTTTTTTTTTTTTTTTTTTTTGACAGAGTCGCACTCTGTTGACCAGGCTAGAGTGTGGTGGCACAATCTTGGCTCACTGCAAACTCCGCCTCCCAGGTTCAAGTGATTCTCCTGCCTCAGCCTCCTGAATAACTGGGATTACAGGAACCTGACACCATGCCTAGCTAATTTTTGCATTTTTAGTGGGGATGGGATTTCACCATGTTGGCCAGGCTTGTCTTAAACTCCTGACCTCAAGTGATCTGTCCACCTTGGCCTCCCAAATTGCTGGAATTACAGGCATGAGCCCCCATGCCCAGCCAAATTCTTATATTACGCTCTTTAATCCTCTCTAGAACCCTATAAGGTAGATATTGTTAGCCCCATTTTACAGAAAAGTAAACTAAGGCTTGGCACAGATAAGAGCCTCTCAAACACACATGGTTACAAAGCAGGGGAGCCAGAGTTTGAATTTGAGCCCAGGTCTGCGTCGCTTCAAAGCTCGTGCTCTGAGTCACTGTCATAAACTGGCTGTGACTGTGGTTCTTTCTGTGGTGGCTGCGGGGAAGCTTGGAACAAGCGTCAGGTTCCTTCCCACGCACACAAGACCCACGGCATGCATCGTGGGCACCAATTCGACTCTTGCCCTTCATCCAGACCTCTTCACTTATTTTTGAAACTGTTATACTACAAGCCATCTCATGTCCTTTTTGGAAAAAAGGAAGGTACAAACACACAAGCCCATCCAGCGCCACGACTCCACAAACTTGGCGAATGGTTTCTGGCAGGAAAGAGGTGAAGGCAGGGCAAGAGGGGTCTGCTCTACTCGGCATCCTCCTCCGTTTGGTTCAGTTGCAGGAAACTTCAAAAGACAGACTGAACTCACCTTGGCAAGGCACGTGTCTATACAGCATATGGTGGGGGGAAGCTTCTACAATGACCAGGGGAGCAACGTTGTCAACCACAGACACAGATCATAAATAGATTCTCGAACTAGCTAGACCAGGGAGCAATTTGCTTTAAGGGTAAAATTTCAATGTGGCTATTTATAAACTGCACAGCCCATTTACACGTAAAAATGAAATTTATTAAAGGTACACGGCTGCTAGAAATGGAGTCAGGAAGTACTGAAGGTACCATTACCCAGGAAAACATGCAGACAAATCCTCATCCACCACCCTCTGCTCAACCCTGCCCCATCCTGCTGGGCTCCTGGGTTTCCAACGGCAGCTGTCAAGGAGGGACAGCATTGCAGCTTAATACGCAAGCTACTCACCCCAAAATCTTTGCACTTTTCATCTAACCTAAGTGAAGAAGGAAGAGAAAAAGTTCAAAGTGGAGAAAAATAACTAGAAGCAGCCTTAGGCTTGATAGTGACAGTTGAAGCCGGTGACGGTAGACCACCACTTCCCGCTGCCCTCCCGGCCCCCTGTGAAGATGACTTCATCTCTCTTTGATGATGAGTGGTGTTTAGAGGCTAAACACAGGTATTAGGCCCAAAGGTTAGCAAATCCTTAATAAGATTAAGGAACACTAAAGCCTTCTGAAGCTTGTTTTGAAGAAACCATGGAGGCCGGGCGCGATGGCTCACGCCTGTAATCCTAGCACTTTGGGAGGCCGAAGCGGGCAGATCACTTGAGGTCAGAAGTTCAAAACCAGCCTGGTCAACGTGATGAAACCCTGTCTCTACTAAAAATACAAAAAAAATTAGCCAGGCATGGTGGTGGGTGCCTGTAACCCCAGCTACTTGTGAGGCTGAGGCAGGAGAATCTCTTGAACCCAGGAAGTGGAGGTTGCAGTGAGCCGAGGTCGTGCCATTGCACTCCAGCCTGGGTGACAGAGCAAGACTTCGTCTCAAAAACAAAACAAAACAAGAAACAAAAAGAAGAAACCATGGAGGCTTTGGTGCAGCACAAATGTTAGGAATTTAAGAGGGTGAAACAGCTGCCAAAAAGCTGAGACCTCGTGGTCCACTGCTCCTGGCCCCTGACAGACCAAGGCACAGTCATCCCATGGCGGGTCAGGCTACATCTGAGGCAGCACGAAGGTCAAGGTAAGACCAAAATGAAATCCAAGAGGGGAACGACAAAAAGGAGTGTCATTTTTTAGATGAGGGAGATGAGAACATTGAGAGTCTTAGAAACAGGAGGGAAGGTGGCCAAAGGAGTTGGGAGGCCTTAGAGAAGACAAGAAGAAGAAGAGGGAACCAGAAGACTCCCTCCAAGGACTGAGGGTGAGTCACACGGAGAAGAATCAGACATATTCCCGCGCACCCCAAAACACTCTAGAGTCAGACAGACGCAGCAGTGCAATACAGGAGGAATTCACCAAGAGTCGGAACCATCCCCAGTTGTGGCCTGGAGGACAGCCCTTTGGAGGTCCTGGAAGAGGATCCCTGAACTGGCCTGGCTAGGTGCGGTGGCTCACGCCTGTAATCCCAGCACTTTGGGAGGCTGAGGCGGGTGGATCACCTGAAGTCAGGAGTTCAAGACCAGCCTGGCTAACATGGTGAAACTCCATCTCTACTAAAAATACAACAAAATTAGCTGGGTGTGGTAGTGGGCACCTGTAGTCCCAGCTACTCTGGAGGCTGAGGCAGGGGAACGGCTTGAACTCGGGGGGCAGATGTTGCAGTGAGCCGAGATTGCACCACTGCACTCCAGCCTGGGCAACAGAGTGAGACTCCATCTCAAAAAAAAAAAAAAAAAAAAAAAAAAGGAGGACCCCTGAACTGAGAGTCAGAGGGTGGAATGGATGAATTCCAAAGGGTCCTTCCCAAATTCTAAGAATCCATCATGACCATTCCCCTAATTTTTGGATTTCTTACAAACTTTACATGAAACACAACATGGTCTCCCTGTCTCCTTTTTGTGCCACACTCATTCGATCAATTCTTTCATTCTCCTGAATACAGAGCTCGAGAAGTTTCCAAAGGAAAACTCCATATTTAAAGAAAATCAGGTTTCAAAAACTCTTTTGGAACGTCTGGAATGGGAAATCTATAGATAAAGACAGTAGATGAACAGTCGAGTTGGCATGAGGGAGACTTGGAGGGGATGGGAGAGACCACTAACGGGGACAAAGTTTGTTAGTGGTGATCAAAGTGTTCTAAGATTAGATTACAGTGGTGGTTACACAACACCATAAATGCAGTAAAAGCACCAAGTTGTAGGCTTTAAATGGGTGTGTAAGTTATATTGCAATAAAGCTATTTTTCCAAAAACCTCCTTTGGGCAGCCCTCCGGAGGAGTTTCTGTGTCACAGCTGTCCTCAGGAGCGTTTCTCCGGAGGCCGTCAGTTATCTCGTGCAGTGTGGTGCGCTCTTTCTAGTGGAAAGACTGAATGTTAATCAAGACTTTTCTCCCTACCAGAGCGTGGAGCCTAAACGAGACCTCCATTCATCCATCTCACTGCCCAGGCTGACCCAGTACTTCACCAATGCTGTCACTGCAGCGTGCTGACAGCCATGGGGACAAGTGACTCACCTGCTCCTGGCACAGGGTCAAGTCAAAGAGCAGGCTAAGAAGCTGAACCCAGGACTGGGGACCCTGAGTCCAGCGTTGTCAAACACCCCCTGGAACCTGGCAGATGGCACTCTGGGCCCCAGTAGCCACTGGCTGGCAACCCAAATGCAGTCACACGAGAGCTGTCGGTAAGAAGAGCCGAGAGGCGACAAAGGCCCTGGCCGAGAGGCTTTCTGAAGGCACCCACGTCCCCTCGGGACAGGGAGGAAGACTGGGGATTAGTGGGGAGGCCCCTCCAGTCCACTCGGCCCATAACCCACCTTGTTAGAGACCCTGGTGAAGGAGGCAGCGTGTCATTCCATTGATGACAAATGTGTTCTTGGAATGTGTCCCCACCCTGTGCTCTTCCCAGGAGAAAGAATGCCAAATCTCTCTGGCACTGACCAGAGCCCTGCTTTGGACGGCAAGGGGTATTTTTAGAAATCACGGGAAAGCTGTGGAAGTCTCACGTGGCCCCACAACAGGCAGCACCGGGTGCCAGACCTACGCAGCCACAGAGCCTTCCTGAAGCCCTCCATGAGAGTCACGGCTCTCAGAAACGTCCTCAGTACACCGAACTCAGGGTCTAACCTCAGGCAGTGCTACCCAAGCTCACTTCGCGGCACCCACTCAGCAGGCACCGCAGCACCGTTCCCGAGTCAGCGGTTTCACACAGCATCCTTGACGACCAGAAACAACAAAGTGGTGTCTGTGTTTTCTACACACACGCACGCATGCATATGCACACACGTGTGCACACTTTGATAGCTCAGCTCAACACAACAGGGCTGAGGAAAAAGACTGGAAACTATGCCATGAAACGAACGTGTTAAAAGAAATCTTCCCCAGCTATTGAAGGGAAGGGCAGGGCGGACAACATCACAAGGGGACATTTAAGTTTTTTCATGACCTACCTGAAGCCCTGGCTGTTCCCAGAACAGCGGAACGGAGCCTCTGATCTGGACAAAAGATGACACTCCATCGTCCATGTAAATCATCTGCGGCACAAGGAAACAGAAAGGGAAAGGTATTCTTCAATGAAACCGAACGTCCTGGGCTGGGTAACGGGATCCGGCCACCTGTGACCCGACACCAGCCAGAATGAAGGGCGGACGGTGGACTCCGGCGTCCTCTGCTCCCCCATCCGGCAATGCGCCCTGACCTCTCGCCAGGTACTGGGCGGGCATGCTGGCTGTCGACCAGCCTCTGAGGAGGGGGTCTGCTGGGGGTTGGGGCCTCCCAGGGTCTCCGGGAATTCACACTTCTAGGGCACAACCTTATCGTCACCCTGAAAATCCCAGGAACAGCCTTCCGCCACCCCCTGTATGAATAGAAGTCAGTGTGCTCTGGAATGTAACCTTCCTTAGAGCCCTCTATTTTTGCCTTGGCAAATAGCTAAGCAGAAGAGAGCTATGAGAAAAGGACTGAATGAAATAAAATGCACCAGTGATAGCCAAAAGACCTCACTGACTGTGCTAGCCAGTCTCGTACTTGACAATGCAAGACTCAACCTGATCTTGTACTTGGTCCTGGCCCTGCCCCACTGTGTTCTTAAACACACCACTCAGTTAACACACACAACACGGTTTCCACAAGCTTCCAGTGTGACAGCACCTGCAGAGAAACAAATGATCCGTACACTTTAAGACATCTATCTCCTCCCCACCCACACGTACAGCTATTTCAGAGTGTGCCTGCAGGCCTCCAATGACGCTGGAGTGCAAGGGAGTTTTAAAAGGACAAGAAGTACGATCCTGAGCGCCAGCAGGGGCAGGCGGCGACACTTATCAGATGCGGGGCCTTTATCTGCGCAACTCTAGCCTGGCCTGGCAGGGCGGCCTGGGCGCTGCTGTGGTCCTTTCCGTTCCTCACCGGCCTGCTCCCTTACAGGGCAGCTTCCCATGCAGGCGAGATCACGCTCAGATCACACAGGAATGAGTCATTCTGCAGTGGAGGACCTGAAAATTAGAGCCACTGTTTCCCTGGGCCACAGGAATTACAGGAGCCTGGTATCTACATTGTCAAACTGGAATACTATCCCTTAATCTCCAAAGGAAAAAAGCATGTGTTAAGAACATGCTGTCTGTTTCCAGGTATTGAGTACCAGCAAAGCTGTTGAACTCCATTCTTCTACTGACAAAACAGAATAAAATAGCAGGTTGCTTGAACGGCTACAGACATAGTTGGCTACCGTGAAATTAGGTACATACAACTGACCGGCGTGTGTGCCCTGCATAGGCCCAGGTTCCTGGAAAAGAAACCAACATTTGTATATAAAGACAATGTTTAACAATATCCAGGCTGGGCGCAGTGACTCACGCCTACGGTCCCACCACTTTGGGAGGCCAAGGTGGGAGGCGGGCTTGAGCCCAAAAGTTCGAGACCAGCCTGGGTAATAAAGTGAGACCCCCATCTCTACCAAAACAATTTTTAAAAAGTTAGCCGGGTATGGTGGCGTATGCCTGTAGTCCCAGCTATTCGGGAGGCTGAGGCAAGAAGATCACCTGAGCCCAGGAGGATGAGGCTGCAGTGAGCTATGATTGCACCACGACACTCCAGCTGGGGCAACAGAGTGAAATCCAAAAAACACCAAACAACAACAAAAACCAATGCCCACGATCTATTTAGGCTGAGGAATGTCTCCCTTCACTCTGACTGCCCCAAGTGCTAACAATGCCACTTCCAGCATCACATCAGGCTCCTCCCAAGCTGAGACTTGCCCAGAACCAGCTTCTGAAAACACTGAGGGCTGTCAGTGCTCTGTATGCCCCTCCCTGCCCACACTGGAGCAAGAAGAAAGGAGCTCCAAAGTTCTCCACCCCGTCCTCCACAGGGGAAGTAGGTGACATCTGCACCCCGTCCTATCATCAAGACTGTCTTCTTTGTTCCCAAGGCAGTAGGCATAACTTGACCATCAAATGCAAGTGATACATTTCCATTCTGGGCGAACAACTTTTAATACCAGTGGAAGAAGTGATGTCTCACCTCACAGATGTCATTTTGACAGAGGGCTCTTGGGGTGGGGAGGCAGGACAGAGAGTGGAAGCAGGAGAGAAAGTGGGCTCTGGTATTAGCACAAGCTGGGTCCGACTGCCACTTTGCAAACCCCCATTTGCCCAGCAGGGTGGCCCTGGGCACATTACTTAGCCATCTTCAGCCTCAGTTTCCCTCTCTCTACATGAAGTTCATGTCACCTTGTGCACGGAGAAGGGATGAGCTGTGAGGGGTAAATGAGGGGGGCATAGTCCCAGCACAGAGTAGCCACTCAAAAAACGAAGCTGTTTTCTCTTCCCCAGAGGCCCTGACGCTATGACTATGCATGCGGGCACCTGCTGGCGTCGGAGAGAGCTTGGGTCGTGGGAAGAAGGAGGGATTCAAGAAGGAACAGACAAGAGGTGGGAGGGAGACCGGGAAGAGCAGTGGGGCCACGGGAAGAAAAGTCGGAGGCCCGTGCCAGTGCTGTGATGAGGCCAGGCCAGTGCCTAGACCCCAGACTGAGCAGCCAGAGGGTGACCCTGAGTGACGCTTCCAGAGCAGTGGGAACAGAAACCTAATGGCCATAAAAAGAGAGCGACGAGGCAGGAAAACTCACAGGGGTACATATACCTTCTATCTGAAAGGCTTTCTGCTGACCTTCTGCTTCCAGATACAGTGTCTGCAAACCAATTATCTCCAAGTCTGCATTCCTGGGAGGACACGCAGTCATCCTAACCTCCCTGAATGAGTCAGTGGCCTTATCTTGAATAGCCAAATATTTATCTTACATCCTTTTTTTTTTTTAATAGACTGAGGGGACTTTTTGGTCTTGTTTTTCTGTGTGGTGAGTCAGCACTGCAGAGCAAGCCCACCAGCTATGACTCAGCAGAGCCAAAAAGACTCAAGGCTTCCTCCCAAGGAGGCTGAGATGCTATCTACACATGTACACAACATCTGTGCGTGCAGACACACAACACATACACAACCCACACATGTGTGTATACAACACATAAATGCACACACTGCACACATACACATGAAAAACAAACACAAGGCACACACCACACACATGTATACACAAATGCACAATGCACATGACACATACACACATGTACAACACATAAATGCACATACCACGCACACACTGTACACATACAACCCATGCACACACACACACAGCCTGCCTCAGAGAAAGAAGATTAATTATTCCTCCTAGGAAACATGTTAAACCAAAGCAAAAGCAGAGGGTGCCACAGGGTCCCCCTTTTCTGGCTTCCTGAGAATTAATTCCTAAGAAGCCGATCCGCCTGCCAAGAGTCCCCACCACAGGGAGCCAGTCTGCTCCTGGTCCGGTCCCATCATTTGTTTGCCAGACGATGACCGCACAGCCGCCTGTGTGCACGCTCCACTTCCAAATGGTCAGCGGGCCTGGCTGGTGGATCCTGTTTCCTCTGCAGGGGCCCCAGGCCAGTGTGACCTGCGGGCGGCACCACAAGGGGCTCACCTGCCTCCCCAGCACAGTCCTCCTTCCTACTGGAGGCTCAGCACTAATTTCCTCAAAGTTGCTCCCTGCACCCTGGGGCGAGGCCACCGAGATGCAGAGCCTGCCACTTCCTCAGATGTCAGGTGGAGGGGGAGGCCACGCTGTGCTACCAGAATGAGTTTACCCGACTGTCTACAGGAGCACGTTAAAGGTCTCCAGAAGCGCCAGACAGTCTGCTCCTGTACCATAAGCAAAGCTTATGGAGAGCTCATGACACCGTCCCAACCCAGGCCCTCAGTTGTGACTTTGCAAACTCAAGGGGGTAGGAAGTGCCAGGCTCCCCTGAGGGACCTCTCCAGAATCCCAGCAGATCACTGGCACCTGAAACAGGTAAATCTCACAGGGTCCCAGGCAGGTTCCCCTGCAGACCACGCAGCCCGATCCTCACGGGGCTGCTTCCCTGAGCTCAGCAAGGACCTGCAGGCTGAGCCTTGCTCCACTCTCCTGACTCATCCTAGAAGAACCATCCTCAGCAGGTGGCCGCAGAGCCAGGGAGGGCAGCGGGGCTGCCGCTTCGCAGGAGCATACTAACTGTGCATTCCACTTAAAGACGTGTTTTGTGTTTTAAAAACGAACTTAGATCAACCTAAGCATCAGTACTGCTATAAAGTGACATAAACAAAAATATTCAGTGACTCCAGAGACAGAAAGCGAGGGGTTCCCTTGGCTTATACAAGTGAGGCAACAGGAGTTTCTTGCTTTTGGGGAACAGTCACTTCCCTGCAGCCATCTCTGCTCCTGCTGCCTCTGTAATGTTTTAGAAAAAGGGCTGTCACACCTGTGTTTTTTGGCTTGGAGGAATGCTGACCCCCCACCAGGCCCATGCCCTGGTCCCATGTGTGCAGGAAGCATGAACCCTCTCTGCTCTTCCAGTTCACCTGTGTTTCTTTCTGCTCCATGCCCCTCCTTCCTGGGCTGCGCGCAGCACACGCTTCTCCCTGCCCTGGCTCTGCTGTGCTTCCCCTCGACCTCCAGGCAGGGGTCACCAGCCGAACACCACCTATCGGAAGTACCACCTGGAAGGGCGGCAGCACCTGGCAGGACCAGCTTCACCTGCCCCACTCCTGCTGCGCCCCCATCACACCACCACTGCCCCCCATGCCCACCCACCTGGGAGCAGAGCCTGGGACCTGGCAGGCTCAGTCAGGCTTTGCTGAAGGCCCACGTGGACAGCCCTGGACTCAGCGCTGGGAAGTGACAGCTCCCCTTCCTGGGTAGCCAGGCTGTCCGGGGTCTCCGATGGATGGGCCAGCCCAGGCACCTCCAGGCTCATCAGCACAGCCTGAAACATAGGCACCCAACCAAGAGCTACCGTGGGTGTAGGGCCACCTTCCTGGGGCCCCGCTACGCATCTCTTGTTAACGAAGTCACCATGGGTTAAGTTATGCTCTCTAGGTGGGGCGGGGGCAGCATCCGCAGCGGCTGCATCTGTGGGTGAGCGGCAGGTGGTGGTGCCCAGCTGTCTGTCAATCACTGCTGCTCCTGGGAGTAAGGTTGGGTGGGGACTTCATGGAGAGCAGCCCTGTCTAGCCCAGAGCCCAGAGGACGAAAAAGGACAAAACACACACACTAGGAAGCCCACAAAGGCTTATGGGAGCCAAGAAATCCCTCCCCAGCCCAGACAAGGAAGGGAGGTGGAGGCAATGTCAACAGCATCGGGCTGTACCCCAGGAGCTGGAAGGGCAGGCTGTTCATATCTCTATGGCCTTGCCAGGCTGCCCGAGGTGGGAGATTCAGGAGATGTGGGGGCAAGGTCCCTGCCTCTGAGCTCTAACAAGCAGGCTGGCAACACAGGAGACAAGCGCCAGTCAGCAGGCACGCGACACGAAGTGGCCAGAGCCAAGGCCCAGCCTGGTCTGTGGTAGGGCTTGTTGGTCTGTAAAAGTGAGAAAGCAAAGATTGCAGCGAGAGTTCTCACAGGGCCACAGGCGCTGCCTGTAAAGCACAGTCCTCTAACAGGAGCCAGCATCCGCGGCCCAGGGTGAGCTGTGTCCCTTCCAAAAACCATATGGTGAAGTACCAACTCCCAGTACTTTAGAACTTGTTTGGAAATAGGGTCTTTGCAGAAGTAATGGGTTAAGATGAGGACAACTGGGCCGGGCTCAGTGGCTCACACCTGTAATCTCAGCACTTTGGGAGGCCGAGGCGGGCAGATCACGAGGTCAGGAGATCGAGACCATCCTGGCTAACACGGTGAAACCCTGTCTCTACTAAAAATACAAAAAATTAGCCGGGCGTGGTGGCGGGCGCCTGTAGTCCCAGCTACTCAGGAGGCTGAGGCAGGAGAATGGTGTGAACCCGGGAGGCAGAGCTTGCAGTGAGCCGAGATTGTGCCACTGAACTCCAGCCTGGGTGACAGAGCGAGACTCCGTCTCCAAAAAAAAAAAAAAAAAAAAAAAGATGAGGACAACTGGAGTAGGGTGGGTCCCTGATCCAGTACGACTGGAGTCCTGGAGAGACACAGGCAGAGAAGGCCACACGAAAACGGAGGCAGAGATGATGGAGAGATGCTTGCCAGAGGCCACCAAGAGCCGGGGCGGTCAGGTGGGCTCAGAAGGGTTCTCCCCAGGGGGACTTCGAAGAGACAGCAGTCCTGCCGACACCTGGATTGCAGACTTCCAGTCTCCAGAACTGGGAGAGAATAAGTGTGTTGTTTTCGGCCACCCAGTTTGGGGTACTTTATTATGGGCAGTCCTAGGAAATGCATGCGGTTTGCTTTCATTTTCCGTGTTAGAATGTCCGGTGTTTTAGGAAGGACAGTGCCGCTAAAGGACAGTGGTTCCCAGGGACTTACTCGATGAGATGCAATAGATGAGACCCCAAGTCTTAAAATTCTGGTTGAAATCCAAAACCAGTATTTTAAATAAAAGTTCAAAATAAAAGGCAAGTGGTAATGAAGTGGGGCAGGGAAGGGACTCTCCCCATGCAGACATCAGCCAGAAAAGAGAAAACCACCCAGCTGGGGCCACAGCTTCTCTCTCTGTCCCCTTTTTAAAATTTTTCAAAATTTAACTTTTATTTTAAGTTCAGGGGTACTTGTGCAGGTTTGTTACATAGGTAAACGCATGTTATGTGGGTTTGTTGTACAGGTTATTTTGTCACCCAGTATTAAGCCTAGCAGCACCCACTAGTTATTTTTCCTGATCCTCTCCCTCCTCCTACCCTCCATCCTCCACCCTCTGATAGGCCCCAGTGTGTGTTGTTCCCCTCTTTGTATCCATGTGTTCTCATCATTTAGCTCCCACTTGTAAGTAAGAACATGCAGTGTTTGGTTTTCTGCTCCTGCCTTAGTCTGCTTAGGGTAATGGCCTCCAGCTGCATCCGTGTTGCTGGAAAGGACACGATCTCATTCCTTTTCATGACTGCATACTATTCCATGCTGTATACAAACCACATTTTCTTTATCCAGTCTACCACTGATGGACATTCAGGTTGATTCCATGTCTTTGCTATTGTGAGTAGGTCTCTGAGGAATCACCACATTGTTCTCCACAATGGTGGAACTAATTTACACTCCCACCAACAGCGTATGAGCGTTCCTTTTTCTCTGCAATCTTGCCAGCATCTGTTATTTTTCGACTTTTTAACAATAGCCATTATTGTGTGAGGAGGTATCTCATTTCACACAAGTCAAATAATATTCACGCAAGTCAAATAATAGCCATTTGACTTGTGTGAGGGGGTAGCTCATTGTGGCTTTGATTCTCATTTCTCTAATGATCAGTGATGTTAAGCTTTTTTCCATGATTGCTGGCCGCATGTATGCCTTCTTTTGAAAAGTGTCTGTTTATGTCCTTTGCCCAGTTTTTAATGTTTTTTTTTTTTTTCTTGGAAATTTGTTTAAGTTCCTTATAGATGCTGGGTGTTAGACCTTTGTCAGATGCATAGTTTGCAAAAATTTTCTCCCATTCTGTAGGTTGTCTGTTCACTCTGTTGATAGTTTCTTCAGCTGTGCAGAAGCTCTTTAGTTTGGTTAGATCCACAATCCTCAAACTAATAAGAGCCATTTATGACAAACCCACAGCCAACACCATACTGAATGGGCAAAAGCTGAAAACCAGCACAGGACAAGGATGCCCTCTCTCATCACTCCTATTTAACATATTAATAGTATTAGAAGTTTTGACCAGGGCAATCAGGCAAGAGAAAGAAATAAAGGGCATCCCAATAGGAAGAGAGGAATCAAACTATCCCTGTTTGCAATCAACATGATTCTATATCTAGAAAACACCACAGTCTCAGCCCAAAATCTCCTTAACCTGATAAACAGCTTCGGCAAAGTCTCAGAATACAAAATCAATACACCAACAACAGTCAAGCAGAGAGCCAAATCAGGAACACAATCCCATTCACAACTGCTGTGAGAAGAATAAAATACCTAGCAATACAGTTTATGAGGGAGGTGAAAGATCTCTACAATGAGAATTACAAAACACTGCTCAAAGAAATTGGAGATGACACAAATGGAAAAACATTCCATCCTCATGGATAAGAAGAATCAATATCATTAAAATGGACATAATGCCCAAAGCAATTTATGGATTCAAAGCTATTCCTATTAAACTACCATTGACATTCTTCATAGAACTAGAAAAAACTATTTTAAAATTCATATGGAACCAAAAAAGAGCCCGAATAGCCAAGGCAATCCTAAGCAAAAAGAACAAAGCTGGAGGCATCACACTACCTGAATTCAAACTATACTACAGGGCTATAGTAACCAAAGCAGCATGGCACTGGTACAAAAACAGATACGTAGACCAATGAAACAGAATAGACAACCCAGAAATAAGGCCGTACACCTACAACCATGTGATCTTTGACCAACCTGACAAAAACAAGCAATGGGAAAAGGATTCTCTATTCAATAAACGGTGCTGGGATAACTGGCTAGCCATATGCAGAAGACTGAAACTGGACCCCTTCCTTACACCATATACAAAAATCAACTCAAGATGGGTTAAAGACTTGAATGTAAAACGCAAAACTATAAAAACCCTGGAAGACAACCTAGGCAATACCATTCTAGACATAGGAACAGTCAAAGACTTCATGACGAAGATGCCAAAAGCAATCTCATTTTTAACCAGATATTTACATAATAGCCTCGTTGATATCCACAGTGCAGACATTCTGAGCAGAATTACAGGCAAGTAATTGCAGCTGTTGCCCATCTTAGGGCCCCCTGCTCTGATGTTCCTCTGAGTGGGGACTCTGAGAGCAGCCTCCTCATCTCTGTATCTACCCTCTGAACACTGGAGCAGGCAGAAAGTCCCACACAGTAAAGGTAGGTGCTCAAACCTCTGCTGGATTAAAGTGGCCAAAGTCCGCATAAGGCATTCCTCTCCCAGCAGCGGCAGCGAGGGGGGACGCACAGCCACGCCTTCACTCAGTAAACACAGGGCACCCAGCTTGCCCTGGCAGGAGTACCATACATGTGCCTTCCGGGGTTTTCCTTTCTTATGGCTTACACCACTGTATTCCACATGGTGGCCTTATCTTACAGATTGCAAGTTAGAGCAAAAATTTAAAAGTTGTAAGACAGCATCTCTGGAAATGAGAACAGAATTTAGAAAAAACTCCAGGAGAAATTAAGCAGATGGCTATATTCTAGGGGAACGGATGGGAGCGGCTGCTTAACACGCAGATTTCACAACTCTAGGGTGCTAATACTGGCTTCCAGGAGAAGCTTCAGTTGATTTAGAATAAAAAATAATGGTTTCTTCTTTCATCCCCCCATTGTATTGATCTACTTATTTTTGTCCTAAAAGGATTTTCAAACCCTATTTGTTCATCTGTCAGCTGCCCTTGGAATACTGCCCACCTTTCACGACCAAGGCAAAAATTCCTGATTCCGTTTAGTTAAAAATACCTCGGCTAAGCAGCATTTTCCCTGCATGAGATGTGAATCAGAAAGGATACACCATGCAAACCAGAGGTCACATTTTCATGTGGAGCCCAATTACACGTGCTGTTCTCCACTTATAGGAGGAAGCCTGATCAGAGACCACCACAAATATGCCAGGGCCTCTTCTGCCCCAAGTGGAAAGCGCGTGTGCAAGAGCTGCAGCCACTCGGAACCATTTGGTGCCACAGATGGGCCTGGGCACTCACCTGCTCTGTCTCCACGAAGTTGGACACATGGCCGTCGTCGTTCACGCCACGGGTGTGGAAGCGAGTGCCTGTGCGCTCACAGCTAACGCGAGAGACGAGGCAGGCCTTGGCCTGCTTGTGGGAGGCATACACGGTGCGGATGGTGACCACCCCGCAGATGATCTTCAGCAGCCAGTCACAGCAGCTCACCTGGTGCTGCCTCAAGGGCACGTGCAACAGCTGGTTCCTGCAAAACACAGTCCCACACCAATTCCAGTCACTTGACATCCTCCAATACATGCTGCCTGGACAGCGAGTGTGGCTGAGGAACTGGGGGGCGCACGGTGCAGCATTTCGGGTCAGCGAATGCATGCTGCTCCCCAGTGGACTCTGCACTTGGGCTGTACAGATCTGGGAAGTTCATGTGCTTCAAAGAGATCCCAAATAGCAGGACCACTGTGTCACGTAGAGGAGGATGGCCAGGGAGTCCTTTCCCAAAGCCACTACCAGGTCGTCACTGTCGCTAAATGGAAGCAAAGCTGGAGAGTGAGCCAGCGTGCACTTTTCGGGGAATCGCAAAGGGGCCTCTGGTTAGCCCTGTGGGCCCCACAGTTTTCATCGCAGGCCCCATTGGTAAAAAATTAATCATCTTTTATTATTAAACAATCATGATCAATAAGTGATTAAAAATCATATTAAATATGGGAACAGTTATTTAAATTATCCACATATACACACACATGCACCATGAGATGATTATGACGAGAGCGCTACAAAGCAATCCAAAATAAATTTTAAAAAGATCCGAGGAAAATAAAATGTAATGAAAGTTCAAGTATTCCCTCTCCATGCCTAGTGGATTGCTGTAGGCTCTAGAGTCCATGATGATAACGACAGGGTGACAGCCAACATTTATCCTGTGCACTAAGCCCCATTCTAAGTACTTTGGGGTGGATTAACTCATTTCACCCTTGAAGTGACCCTATGTGAAAGGTATCATCAGTGACCCCCTTTCACAGATAAAGCAGCTGAGGCACAGAGAAGTGAAGTGCTTGTCTAATGCCACAGAGCCAGCCAGTGGCGTCATGGAGCTTGGAGCCCGCGCTCTTCACGCCGAGCCTTTCTTCATGAGGCCCTACGTTTCCATGTGCACCTGCGAACGACCACGTAGTTCTCTCATCCCTGAGCTGGCCTGGCCCCCTTGCTTTAGCACCCAGGGGACCTGAGTGGTACCATCCTGAGGGCCCATACTCACTCTCAGGGAGGAGGACCCATCATCAGGAGATGCCCTCTTACAGGGCACTGAGTGAATCTAGATCACAGTGCCCTACTTGTTTAAAAAAGGCAACACAATTCCTGCCCTTGAGCCTTCCTCAAAGACAGCAGCAGCATTTTCTCATTGCTGGAAATCTGTGCTGTGAGCTCTGATGGGTCCCAGGGGGCTTCTCCAAGCTTCCTGCTCTCAGGCCAGCCTCCCCGACTGTGACCAAAGCCACATGCACCCCCACAGGGAGCACAGCCCGCGTCTGACCCCGTCTGAGGTCGCACAGTCACATGCACCCCCACAGGGAGCACAGCCCGCGTCTGACCCCATCTGAGGTCGCACAGCCACAGCGCTCCTCTGCTTGAAAAATGCTGCTGAAGCATTGCTGTACAAAAACACATGTCCCTCTTCCAAATCACTCTCTCAAATTCAGATGATAAGCCAGCTTCCGAAACACATATATGAAATCTGCATGTGGCATCAAGGCAAAGCCTCCAGAATATTTCAGAGTCTGCCAGCTACACAGCTATGGCCACTATCACCAGGGCTCAGGAGAAGAAACCTTTTGCCAAGTGGACAACCCTTAAATCAGCCCTGTTTCTAGTGACACTGCCTGGCCCTCTGGCAGGAGGATGACTCATATCCAGGACCCCCAAAGAGTTTCCTCCCAGGACCTGATTGTACTGGGAGGCAATTGTCAGTGTGATCAATTACCAGCCCAGAAAGATGACTTCACCCTGCTGCTCACTCTGCCTTATGTGCCAGCCACGCTGAGCGTTGACCCCATCTGACTCCTGCTGTGGGTCTCCAGACCTCACGCTGCGCCACAACAGTGGGGGTTCAGGCGATCAAGCCCAGAACCACACTGCCCGTGGTGACTCAGTTGTGGTCAGTTCTGGGGGCTCCACCCTGAGCCTAAACACCACGCCCTGGCGTGTTACAGCTGAGGAGCCTGGCGACCTCCAGAGTTACTTCCTCCTCTCCCTTCAGAAAGGGACACCATGGGGCTCCTCCTTCCAAAGCTCCTCTCAGCCTCCACCTCGTGAATCCCCTTTGCCTCGCTTTGTTAGTGCCCCTCACACCTCCAGCCACAGAGCTGGCATAGGGAAGAGAACTTGCAAAGGTGCTGGTGCAATTCAGATACCCCAAGGATCCCCTAGGGGTTCCAAGGACCCTCACTGCCGCTGAGAGCTCTCACCTCTGCTCCCCTGACAGTTCTGGTTTAAAATAGTTTCACGGACTCCACACAAAGATACCTCATAATACACAGCCCCTCTGTGCTTAAGCTTGGCTGCCTTTAGGGGAACATGTAACAGCTCGCGGGGCACATGCTGGGCCCTGCAAAATGTAACCAGCGATTCACAGAAATGCCATCCCCAGAGGCTGCTACTCAACCTGCCGTCTGCAGACAAGCAGCACTGGCAGCTTATTAGAAATGCAGAATCCTGGGCCCAGCCCAGACCTGCCATCCCAGAATCTGCATTTTTAATGAGATCAGCATGAGATTCACGATTTTATTTATTTTATTTTATTTATTTATTTTGAGACAGAGTCTCACCCTGTAGCCCAGGCTGGAGTGCAATGGTGCGATCTCGGCTCACTGCAATCTCAGCCTCCTGGGTTCAAACGATTCTTCTGCCTCAGCCTCCCATGTAGCTGGGATTACAGGTGTGCGCCACCACACCTGGCTAATTTTCTTTGTATCTTTAGTAGAGACAGGGTTTCACCATGTTGGCCAGGCTGGTCTCAAACTGCTGACCTCAGGTGATCCGCCTGCCTTGGCCTCCCAAAGTGCTGGGATTGCAGGCGTGAGCTACCATGCCCAGCCTTGATTCACGTGCATTTTGAAGTCTGGGCACATTACTGCCCCCAAATATCCACAATACCAGAGAACCAAAGAGGATGTGGGGGTGGGGAGCGTTGGGATGGACACAGGGATGTGGGGAGGGTCCCCTTCTTCCGGCAGAAATCAGGAATTCACTTCTGGGGAATCCAAAGCACCAAGGCCAGATGAAAACCTGTGGCTGCCTCTGGCAAAGGGAGAGAGGCACAAACAGGTCAGAAATAAACCTCACGAGTCCCGTCTCAGAGCTGGGAAAACTGATATAGCTTCAAAAGGCAGACACTGGATTCTAAAACATTACATTAGATGAGGTTCATTGGAACGACTCCCATGGCAGGACTTTCCTCACTTTTGCTTCTACCTGGCATCTCTAGGCATCAGTGCGAATCTGACAGAAACAGCATTATGTCCAGAAAGGGCAATAGATAATTTATGTATTTACAGGGTTGTCCACTCTTGTCTCTGTCCTGCTGTGGAGTGAAAAAGCACCAGGAGATCTTAAACATACAGAAATCCAGCCGCCTCTGCCTGGGCTCCGGGACTAGTCTTAGTGCATTGCTACAAGTCCCTTTGGGCAGGGTGACTCAGCTTCCCCATTGATGGGACTGGTTTAGCACTGTGATTACCAGCTTGGGACCTGGACCCAGAAAGCCTGGGTTCAAATCCTGGCTCTGCCACTTAGTAAGTGTGTGGAGTTTGGCAAAATTCCCTCGACTATTCGTGCCTCAGTCTCTCTACCTGTAAAATGGGGTAACAGAGCCTCCGCATAATTATTATAAAGGTTTTTATAATAATGATGAGTTATTACCAGCAGAGAGATCTTAGCACGGTGACCCGAACACAGTGCTTTATAAACATCAGCGGTAAACGGCTGCACACTGGAGGTAACCATGATTGAGAAGACTGAAAGAGTGAATCCAGGCAGAAGCACTGAGCTCGGCACCCGGGACTGAGGAAGCACTCAGCAGACGTCGGCTCTTATGTTTTTTACTTATGGAACAGGGTTTCTTTTCTTTCTTTCTTTTTCTTTGAGACAGAGTCTTGCTCTGTCACCCAGGGTGGAGTGTAGTAGCACCATCTTGGCTCACAGCAACCTCCGTTTCCTGGGTTTAAGCGATTCTCCTGCCTCAGCCTCCCGAGTAGCTGGGATTACAGGCACCTGCCACCACGCCCAGCTAATTTTTTTTTTTTTTTTTTTTTGTATTTTTAGTAGAGATGGGCTTTCACCATGTTGGCCAGGCTTGTCTCAAACTCCTTAACTCAAGTGATCCACCTGCCTCAGCCTCCCAAAGTGCTGGGATTACAGGCATGAGGCACCATGCCTGGCGCAGGTTTCTTTTCCAAATCTACACTGAACACATTCCAGGGGCCAGGGGTGGGGGGTGGCAGGGAGTTCAGGGTTAGTTTTCCTCTCATTGTGCTGAGAGCAGGCCTGGGTCCTAACTCTCCAGAGGTGCCCCATAACCCGGGGGTGGTGCAAGTGGAGGTCAAGGCCTCAGATGCCAACCAGGGCCCACCCTCTGCAGGAGACCCAGGGCCCACCCTCTGCAGGGGACCCAGGGCCTCACCAGAAGAAGGAGTTCCCCCATTCAGAGCTGTCATCCCCCTGCTTCTGCGTGCGGACAGTCAGGTCAAAGCGAGACCCATCGTTTGGCCATGAGAAATAGAACACCCCCGAGCTGAGGATTTTCTTCAAAGCTATGAGGCGTTCCTCCTCCTTGGCCTCTTCCTGAAGAGGGTAAAAGTCAGTGGCAGTGATTTTGTAGATTTCAGCATCTGGAATTCTGCCCACAGATGTGCAGCCTGTCACCAACACCAGGAAGCTCAGAGACGTGCCACCTGGAAAGGAAATCAGACAGGAGAGCTCAGGGTCGAAGTCGGCCCGGCCGCCTGGAGCTCCAAGGGGACAAATGGAGCCCAGGTTCAACCGCAGCCAGGAAGGCAACGTCTGTGCACCTGCAACTTCCCATGGCATTGCCCAACTCAATGGCTCAAGAACCTGCCCTGTCCTGTAAGCTTCAGGCGGGGCTTCTCAAAGTGTGGGACCCTGGCCAGCAAGTCAGCATCCCCTGGGAGCCTGTTAGACATGCAGATTCCTGCCGCCCAGCTGCCTGAGGCTGGGGGCAAGCTTTGCTTTAACAAGCCCTCCAGGTGATTCTGATGCCCCCAGGAGTCTGAAAATTCCTGGCCTAGAGCCCTTCCAGACCCCCAGGACCTACCCCCAAAGCCTCTCCAAATCACCTTCCCCAGTGCCTCCTCAGCCACTGCCTTGACTCAGGACCCCTGGCCTGGGGTCTGTCTTCCCCCACTCCATCACAGGAGTGGCCTTCCCAAAGTCATTGGATCACAGCCGCTCCGCCCTTCCTTCTTGCACAGCTCCCACTCCCTGCAGGACTACGACAGAAGCTCCCAAATCCCTCCCCGCTGCAGCCCATCCCTGCCCCACACGTGGGCAGACACCCCAGCCGGCTGCTCTCCTGAGCTGGCTGTCCTCCAGCTGGTCCAATGTGCCATAAGCATGACCTCGCACCCTGGGCTCTTGCCCAAGATGCTCCCCCTGCCTGGGACGTCCCACCGCCATCTGCCCAACAAGACCTCCATGACCCCTTCTCCACGCACCTCCCGCCTGTCTCTACCCTAACAATACTTCAGGCTTCGGGCCCAGCATTCCATCCTCTGGAAGAACACGAGCGTCCCCACATGCTCCGTAGGGACCATCCTGCCTCTGCCCTCCCCACTTCACCAGAAGAACTCCTCCTCATCCTTCTGGGCCAACTTGGCAGCAACTCCTCCGGGAAGCCTTCCTTGCTCTCCCAAGACACGGACAGGCACCCCTCGTACGTGCCAATAGCATTCCCATCAGCAGTTGTCACACACACAAAGCTCATGACCTCCCTCCCCACCTGTGCCCCCAGGGGAGGGGCTTCCTTGGGGGCAGGGCCATTTCGTCGTCATCTCCCAGCACCACACACACTCGGTTTGCTGAATGCTTCCTAAATAAATTCCTGCCAAATGCTACCAAGACGACCTCGGACCCTGCAGCCAGGCGAATGAGGCAGCCCTCTCTGGGGCACCACCTCGCTGTCGCTGACAGCTGGTTTTCTGTTCCCTATCCCCCGCTGCTCACAAGGGCACTTCACAACACGCTGCGTATCGGGGGTGCCTGGTGGCGCCGTGCCTCACTCTCGGGACGGGGCCCAAGAGATCATCGGGTAGAAACCGGCCTTTGGGGTCTGGCAGGGCTCTAGTCCCAAGGACACTCTTCCCACCCCGCTGAGGTCTGAAGGATCCGCCCAGCGAGATCTTCTGTGAATGATCAAGGGCCGCTGTCTACAGCCATGGTCTGGAGATGGTTCTGATCTCTCCACACTCCAGGAAGAGACCCCCAAAACAACCAGTTCCACCACCCTCTCACCCCAATTTCCTCACCACACTTCATAGGGAGAAGAGCGCTGCTTGTGGCAGGGTGGCGTGTGGCTGTCATTAAAGTGCGTTCCTTTAATGAGCGCTCAGGGCTCCCAGGGGCCTGCTGCTATGCCATGGGGTGGGGCTGCCAGCAGGGCAGGGGGTTGATCCCATCACATCTCCCCAGACACATCCTCAGGAAACCACCTCAAAACCACCTAAGAACAAAGGAAGTTATCACACTGGGGACAGGGACAGGGGTCAGAGTTCAGCTTCTCAAGTAGGATAGGTGGGGTTCCGGGGTTGGCAGCTTGTGATCAGAGCCTTGGCCACAGAGCGCTCCCGGCACCCACCTGCCTCTTCTGACACAGTGCAGGGAAAAGCACAGTTCAGCAGAAGTGCCCTCGGAGAGGCAGGAGGATGGCCCCTGTGGCTGCCAGAGCTATGGAAAATTTTGCATGACATCACTCCGTGAGAGTCATGAGCTGATTTCTAGCACCACTTCCTCAACAGCCTCCGTGTGGGGGGCCTGAGTGCCTGGCAACAGTCCCAGGTGCATTTCCTGGGCAGGACCACGGCCTGGGGGAGGCTGGGGAGAGGAGCACTGTAGCAGCCAGGAGAGGCTCTTAACATTGCCACAGAGCACTGGGGCTCCTGGGTCCAGGGAGGAGGGGGTCGGGAGTGGTACAGGGGAGTGAGGAGAGCCGGTATCTGGTGAGCGCAGTGGAGGCAGGGGAGCTGTACAGGCGCGGACTCCATCCTCCCGCCCACCGCAAGGGGCGCCCTTACCAGCCCCATCTCACAGGGAGGGAAACAGACGCACAGAGAGGTTAAGCAGCCTGCCCAAGGTGACAGAGCGGGGAGCTGGGATCCAAATCCACTTTCTAGCTACAGTGCCTGGGCAAGTTTCTCAAGCCAAGTCTGGCCCCAGAGCTGGTGCTCCTAATTACACCTCCTTGCAGATGACGTCGCCAGCCTGCTTACCCATGCTGCTGTCTCAGGGCTACCACTGCCATTTCACACACGCATGACTGTCCCCCAGGGAAGCTGAATCACCCGCCCAAGCACACAGCTAGTCTGTGTTGGAGCCAAAATGTAGGTTTCACTTTAAGCCCATGCTCCATCTAGCCCCAAAGTCCGGCAGTTTCCAATCGGATTAGTTTGCTGTACCCTGTATGTATGTATGTATGTACGTATGTATGTATGTATGCATGTATTATTTATTTATTTATTTTTTGAGACAGAGTTTTACTCTTGTTGCCCAAGCTGGAGTGCAATGGTGTGATCTCGGCTCACCGCAACCTCTGCCTCCCAGGTTCTAGTGATTCTCCTGCCTCACCCTCTGGAGTAACTGAGATTACAAGCATGCGTCACCACGCCCAGCTAATTTTATATTTTTAGTAGAGATGGGATTTCTCCATGTAGGTCAGGCTGGTCTCAAACTCCCGACCTCAGGTGATCTGCCTGCTTCGGCCTCCCAAAGTGCTGGGATTACAGGCGTGAGCCACCACGCCCGGCTATTTTTTTTTGAGATGGAGTTTCACTCTTGTTGCCCAGGCTGGAGTGGAGTGGTGCAATCTCAGCTCACTGCTACCTCCGCCTCCTGGGTTCAAGTAATTCTCTTGCCTCAGCCTCCCGAGTTGCTGGGATTATACCGGCTAATTTTTTGTATTTTTGGTAGAGATGGGGTGTTACCATGTTGGCCAGGCTGGTCTCGAACTCCTGACCTCAGGTGATTCACCTGCCTCAGCCTCCCAAAGTGCTGGGATTACAGGTGTGAACCACTGCACCTGGCCTGCTGTACCCTTTAAAAGAGTGTGGTCAACCAGTGTACCTGCTATTGACTGAATGTGTGCACCCCCAAGTTAATATGCTGAAGTACGAACACCCAAGGTGATGGTTTGAGGTGGTGGGGGTATTTGGGAGGTGACTGGGTTATGGCAGTGGAGCCCTCATGAATGGGGTTTGTGCCCAGAGATCTCCTGCACCTCTCCCACCATGTCAGATGCAGAGAAAAGGCAGCATCTATGGAGCAAGAAGCAGGTCCTCACAGCCGGCCAATCTGCGGGCCGCTGGTCTCGGACTTCCAGCCTCCAGAACTGCGCGAAATAAATGTCTGTTGCTGATAAGCCACCCCGTCTACTACGGAACTTTGTCACAGCAACACACTGGACTCAGACAGCGTTCCCTGCCCATTTTAAAACTGCCATTGAAGGTTTTCATCGGTAGTTGAAATGCCTGTAAATAATATATTGTGCAGTGTATTCTAAATATTGACACGTAAAACTAAAACTCTGGGAGCCTCTTGTCAGTATCCCATGGAATCTACACAGTAACGTGATACTCATTGCCATCTATTATTTACAGGATTGCAGGAGCATGCTCTTTCTTACCACATGGAACTTTCACTCATATTTCCAGTCCCCCCTCTTCAGAATTCCATCCTAATGTAGCATATCTGGTGCTTCTACGTCCTGTTCTGATCACCCCATCAGCCCCTGCAGCCGTGTGTTCCTCAACTCCAAGTGTTTAAAAAGAGAGCGTTCTGGTTTATCGTTCCAGTGATACCTAACTGGTCAAACAATGTAAACAATACAATGTAAATAAAACACTGCCAAATAATTTTTTTTGGCTGTCCTCTTTAAGAGTGTGGTCAACCAGTGTACCTGCTATTGGCTGAATGTGTGCACCCCCAAATTAATATGCTGAAGTATGAACACCCAAGGCGATGGTTTTAGGAGGTGGGGTCTCTGGGAGGTGACAGTCTTGCTCTGTCGCCCAGGCTAGAGTGCAGTGGCGCAATCTGGGCTCACTGCAACCTCTGTCTCCCGGGTTCAACTTTCGCCTTTCAGGTTTACTGCCTCAGCCTCTTGAGTAGCCGGGATTACAGGCATGAGCCCCCATGCCCAGCTAATTTTTGTATTTTTAGTAGAGATGGGGTTTCACCATGTTGACTGGGCTGGTCTAGAACTCCTGACCTCTAGTGGTCCGCCCACCTTGGCCTCCCAAAGTGCTGGGATTACAGGCATGAGCCACCGTGCCTGGCCGACAAATAATCATTTGATACAAAAAGTCATAATGTGTTGGAAAGGCATCTCTTAATGAGATGAATAAATATTTATTGAAGGAATGAAAGTAGGTTCTGCACCAATTCTAATTCTAGTTTTCATTTTTGTAGACGCAAACACTAAAAGATCCTGTTCACATTAATAAATAGATGGGAATGGAAAGGGCTTCATTGTAGAAATGTCACTCGATTCTTCAAAGTCCTTCTGAGTTAGCGCTAAGAAATGACAATAACCTGCTGATAAAATGGTTACTAATGTGTCAGCTGATACCCCAATTAAATTCTCCTTCCGTTATGGGGGAAGCAAACAATTGGACATCACCTGACTTGCAAACAGATTGCTACCTAGTCCTGACCTTATTGCAATGCTGTTGACAAGCTTTTGAACTGTCCCTTTGTCTGGAATCCTAGGGGGAGTTACTTCCTGGAGCACGGCACACGGTGAGCTTCCAGAAGAGAGAAGGGCCTACCCTCTACCCTAACATGGAAGCAGGGAGACCTCAGAGGGGAATAAGAACCCTGTCCTCCATCACAGGTGCTCCATGATAGAAAAAAGCCAAGGACCTGGACACTTTTCCTTAGAACTGCCCCTGCCTGTGTGTCCCAGACAGTTGGTGGGACGGGTGTAACCACAGAGGCCTCTGTGGAAGAGCCTTACCCAAACCTCAGGACCGCTGTGTGGAGCGCTGCCTCTCCGGGAAGGCCCCGCCCTGCCTACCTGACCCAGCACTGATGGCTTCCTCCTCCTTCAATCCCAGCCTCACTGTGTCCTGCCTAATCTCATTGACAGCCTGACTGCCTGACTGTGTTCTCTGTATACCATGGGTTTTTTGTTTGTTTGCTTTTTTTTTTTTTTTTAAATTTAGAGACAGGTTCTTGCACTGTCACCCAGGCTGGAGTGCAGTGACTTGATCTCAGTACACTGCAACTTCCCCTTTCTGGGTTCCAGCGATCCTCCCATGTCAGCCTCCCAAGTAGCTGGGACTACAGGCGTGCACCACCGCTCCTGGCATGGTGCTGTAGATACCATCACTATGTAGAGACATAGTCTTGCTACATAGCCCAGGCTGGTCTTGAACTTCTAGGCTCAAGTGATCCTCCTGCCTCGGCCCCCTGAGGTGCTAGGATTACAGGTATGAGCCACCATGCCTGGCCTGTACTATGGGTTTTAAGGAAAGTGTCCTGGCTTGAGCCTAGCACCAGGCTGTGGGGGGTCGCTGACTCCCGGGCCACCGTCAGTGTGGTACAAGCCACTGGTCCCCACCTGCCCCAGGTGTGTGAGGCCCCTCCCGATGCTCACCTAGAGCACAGGATTTGCTTTTGTGAGGCAGGATCAATTCTCTGACAGCCAAGAAGCTAACTAGGCTTGCGGGGTTCTTGGCAGTCCTCAGCTGAGGGAGAGACCAGGGCCCTGAAACCATCAAGGATCTCATAGCAAGTGGAAAAACAAAACTCAGAAGAGTGGGGCTCCAGGCTCTGCACACCTCCAGTGGCCTGTGTGGCCTCAGGCAAGGCTCTTACCCTCTCTGGGCCTCCCAGGAGGATGCGCCAATAGTCTCAATGTCCCCTCCAGGTAAAGGGCTTTGGTTCCAGGGCTCTGGCCAAAGCAAAGCCATGCATGGGTCAGAGGGAGCTGCCAGAGTGAGGTGGAGGGAGGCAAGAGCCAGTGGCAGGTCCTAGGCAATTTGTTATCAGGCCAGGAAAGCTGGCTGTTGGAGTCATGATACGTGGCTTGCAGACCCAAGGCCCCGTTTACCGGGACCACCCCAGGCCTCCCACAAGGCTCTGGGCTGGCATTTCCTTGTGTTGTCTCAGCTCTGAGTTCACCTTCCCAGCCTGGTCTGTGCCAATCCCAACCCTGGGGTCCCTCCAGCCATCCTATCTGTCCCTCTGCTCACACAGACACCCTCAGACTTAAAGCTCCAAACAAAGGACTAAAGATGTCTAGGCTTTCCCACCTGTGAAGGGGGAAGCTTCGGCCAGATGACCCTTGAGCCTCCCCCGCCACCCGCAGGTTCAGAACCCTAAGCACTGTGTGCCCATGCGGCATGGTCTCAGGGCCTTCTCCCGCCTCCCTTCTGCAGAACATGAGGGAGGTGTAGGCAGCGGCGGCCACAGCAGTGAACACCCGCAGTGAGCACCCCTGGTGCAGATCCTTCCTCAGCTCCACGCTGGGAACCTGAAATCAGCCCTGGCCCGTGAATTTACACCTTGGAAACTGGCAAATGCTGCATCATCTCAGAGCTTCCCCCTCAGGGAGCTGGGTGTCAACTCTCTTGGTAATATCCCACCACTGGGCACAGGAATTAAATTAATCTAAGACCGACAAAGGCCAGTTCGCTTCAAGACTTGCTAGAGAACACTGCATCCCAAAAGACTAAGGGTTCAAACTCCCCTCCAGGGAATCCTCCTTCTGAAGTGACTGCCCATGAAACCAGCCCTCTGCTAGCCTGTGCAGAGGAGCCCCCCACCAGGAGTCCACACCCCGAGGCCACACAGCCTGGCCTTCCAGCTCACACCTCGTCCTCAGCCCTCTGCAGGCCAGGTCCCTCTCACTCAGCACCCTCCTCCCTCCAGCCCTCCCAGGGACAGAGGAGAGACAGCAGAGCTTCTCAGTGGTGGCAGCGTCCCCAGGCCACACTCTAAGAAACTGCCTGTGGCCAGCCCGCCTGGTGTTGGAGGAGCACTCCACACTCTTCATGGCTACCATGTGCATGGCCCATGTGGACCTCCTGAGAACTAGGCAACATAGAGATGAGGCAGTTTTCCCAGGTTTACAGACAGGAAAACAGTCCTACAGAGATTAAATGCAGTTCAGCTGTGAAGTGGGAACTAGAATCTAGGAGGGCTGTCTGCTAGAGAATTTATAGGGCTGTCGTGTACAGCTTCACAGGTTGCGTACTGCACAACTCCAGGAGACACAATTCATTATAGTCTGGGATAGGAGTAGAGTCCCTTGAGGCTATAAAACAGGTAGGCCTTGAGAGCTTGGGTTCAAGAGAATTTAAATTGCTATAATCATTGGGATAAGTTCTTTTTTCTGCTACATTCTCACTTAATATGCTTTGTATTGTGTAAACTTCAGGAAGCCTGACTCCCTGGCTAATCACGGGAGCTCCAACCCCTTCCTGCTGGCATTTCAGGAAGGAAAGGGGAACTTTGGGCTTTCTACAAAAACCTTGGAACCTGGAAAAAGGCTTTTATGAATTTTTGTGCATATTTCTCGATTTCTAATGTAAAAGGCTAATTTAGGTAGATTGAAATTTTTCCCAAACTAAGGGAAAACTTGTCCCAAATTAAGAGCCTGTGGGGAAGCCTCTTTCTTTGCGCAGAGATGCTTAGCTAAAAACATTGAAAGGGAGGCCCACTCCTGACTCAGCTGGTTGTCTTCGTGGCAACTGAAAGTTGGAGTCACACAGCTAGGGTCACATACATGGAGTCACACAGCTGAAGTCACGCAGCTGGAGTCAGGCAACAGTGGAGTTAGCCACGCAGTGAAATCAGTCACACAACTGGAGTCACACAGGTGGGGTCACACGGTTGAAGTCAGTCATATAGTTGGAGTCATACAGGTGGAGTCAGTCACACAGAGTCAGTACACAGTTGGAGTCACACAGGTGGGGTCACACAGTTGAGGTCAGTCATACAGATGGAGTCACAGTTGGAGTCACACAGTTAGAGTCAGTCATACAATTGGAGTCACACAGGTGGGGTCACACGGTTGAAGTCAATCATATAGTTGGAGTCATACAGGTGGAGTTAGTCACACAGTTGGAGTCAGTCACATAGTTAGAGTCAGTCCACAGTTGGAGTCACACAGGTGGGGGTCACACAGTCGGAGTCACGCAGGTGGGGGTCACACAGTCAGAGTCACGCAGGTGGGGGTCACACAGTCAGAGTCACGCAGGTGGGGGTCACACAGTCAGAGTCACACAGGTGGGGGTCACACAATTGGAGTCATACAGATGGAGTCACAGTTGGAGTCACGCAGAGTCACACAGGTGGAGTTAGTCACACAATTGGAGTCAGTTACACAGTTGTAGTTGGTCACACGACTGGAGTCACACAGGTGGAGTCAGTCACACAGGTGGGGTCACACAGTTGTAGCTACACTCCGTGCTGCCCAACATGCTCAACAGCTGAAAACACAAAAGAAAATAGATCACAGTTCTGGGTCAGGGACTTACAGGGGAAAAAGAAAATCAAGTTAAAGTCAAACGCCCCTTAAGATAACCAATGGGGACTGAAAAAACTTGATTTAAAGCCCAATCCTTCCATCCTTCAGATGCTCAGGGTGCTTTCCAGAATGTGTTGAAAACAGACCAAATTATCCTGACATCGCCAAAGTCAAACTCATACACACCACACTCAGAGAAACTCCAACCCACTCCGGGGGGTGACTCTCACAGGTGGGCAGGGGTTGGGGGCACCCAAAGCCTCGGAGCAGGGCTGGTCTCGCATGGTCCACAAGAAGCCTCATTCCCTTCTGTGGGGTGTGGGGTGGCGGGGACTGGCTGAAGGCAGGGAGGAGGCCTCGCCTAGGGCAGCCCTGGGAGGTGGTCTCCTCTCTGAGCACTCCCTGCCCCATTAGACCCTGCTGACCCCCGCAGACACCCTGGCTCGCTCTAATAAGACATCTTTGGGGCTGCCACCCTTCCTGGTTAGGACCAATTTCCCACAGCTGATCTTAGATCACAGCCCTGGGAAAAAACACTTTTCCCCTGGGATGGGGGAAGGTACTGCACTTCCTGTCCCCCTTGTGAGCCCAGCCACCTGTCCCTTTCAGAAAGGAGAACAGCCTGGTGGTTGAAGGCAGTCCCTGGTGCCGCAAGGCATGAGTTTAAAACCCAGGGCACCACTTGAGAATGGCGTGACCTTGAGCCGGTTACTGTAATTCGTCGAATCCCAGTCCCTGTCGGATGCAAAATGAGTCATTCATGTAAGGACCAAAAGCAGCTGCCAACTATAACTGAAGGAAGCCAAGACTGTGAGGCATCCTGGGGGCCCAGATACTACCATGTGGAAAAAAGGGCATCAGCATGGATGGAACGCGGCATCCCTGCCACACCTGCAAGGCAGGGTGACAACAGCACAGGTGGCCTCGGGAGCCGTGTTAACAAGTTCCTAAGTGAGTCCCATGCAGGTGCAGGCCACCATCCTCACGGTCATCACCATGGAAGGCAAGGGCCACAGGGATTTCCTGCAACTTCAGGAAGATCGCTGCAGAGCGGAAAGTCCTGCAGAAAACCCTCGGCAGCCCGCACATTTCCACAGAAAAAGCAAGCGTTTGGAGGCGCTTCAAACCCCAACTAAGTTTCTGACCTAAGGCAAGTTACTTGAAGCTTCTGAGCCTGTTCCCGTTACTGTAAACGGGGACAAAGATGCATTATCACGGTAGCCTATTTTTAGGATTAAATAAGTGAATGTACGGCTAGCTCTTGGCACGAAACAGACATTTCATAAATGCACTTTGTCATGTGGGTACTGTGTATTTTTCCTAAATGCTATTTGGAAATGATCACTGTAATCGTCACAGTTCAGGGAAAAACATTCCATGACAGAAAACACCCAGAAAAGGAATGGCCAACGTAACCGTGCTTTTCTGGCAGCTTTAAACATCCTCAGTCTCTGAAAACAGCTGCTGTGAGCAGGGAAGGGAGGTGTGCGCTTGGCTCAGGGAAAGCCCGAATTCAGACAACCCATACAGCCATTCCCATCTCAGCCAGGTGGGACTGAGAATCAGGAATGCGACTGGGCTCTTGTCTCGGCCCCAGAAGTCACAAGAGATGTCCACAGCCAGGTCACAGATGGCAAGGGGGCCCCTGAGAGAGAAGGAAGGAAACAGGTGGTAGAACCTAAAGCCCCAGGGCTCCTGAGCTCCAGGAACAGCTGAGTTTGGCTGTGACCACCCACGACAGCCGGCCACCACCGGCTCACCCCCGAGTCTCTCAGAGTGAGCAGAGATGCCCACGTCTTCCTGGAAGTTCTCTCCCTTCGCAAGTCAGATCACACTGTCCCTTCCTCTCCCTCCCACCCCACACTGACTGACAGTCACACATCGGTGGCTTTTTTCTCCTGCTGACAACTCCCAGCCCACCCCTGTGCCCCCGGGCATCTGCCCTGGTCCCTGTCTTCACCCACCCGCCTTGGCACATCTTCTAGAGTACTGCGGACAATGCCCTGGGCAGAAGCCCCAGACCAGACTTTCGAAACACTTAGGCCCTCGCCGGCAAGCAATGAAGACGAGCTTCTCTGGCACAGGGTGGGGGTGCCGGGAACCCCACCCTGCTCCCCAGCACAGGCAGGTGACAACCAGGCAACACTCACCTTGACCTCCCCACCTGCAGGTTCCTGCAGGAGGAGCAGGTCCCGAGGCATAAAGAAACATCTTAAAAGAGAAGAGAGGTCGGCCAGGCACGGCGGCTCATGGCTGTAATCCCAGCACTTTGGGAGGCTGAGGCAGGTGGACCACCTGAGGTCGGAGTTTCAGACCAGCCTGACCAACATGGAAAAACCCCGTCTCTACTAAAAATACAAAAAATTAGTTGGGCATGGTGGCGCATGCCTGTAGTCCCAGCTATTCAGGAGGCTGAGGCAGGAGAATTGCTTGAACCCAGGAGGCAGAGGTTGTGGTGAGCCGAGATCGCGCCATTGCACTGCAGCCTGGGCAACAAGAGCAAAACTCTATCTCGGAGAAAAAAAAAAAAAAAAAAAAAAGAAGAGAGAGAGAAGAGCGGTCAAACAGAATGCCTGCACTGAGGCCCCTTCCGACACAGAGGCTCCTGCCCACCGGGGAGCCTGGCGCCTGCTCCTCCAGCGAGCGGCTACTCACCAGATTTCAGCCTCAGCTCCCCCAGGCAGCCGTACGCGTCCGTGAGCTTGCCATACTGTCCTTTAATGACTTCCTTTTCTTCTGGAGCTGGGGAAGAAACACATCACAGAAGGCATCAGCGAGCGTCTCCTGCTCATTCCTGTTCATTCACACCCGGCTTGCCAAGCTGGCTTCCCACCCACTCCAAAAAGAAAACACAAAGACAATAGCTCGGCCCACAAACACCAAGTGTGGAGGTTTTATGATTCGCGAATCACAGAGCTGCAAGGATTCAGACCTTCCCACCAACAGCTTGCTCTCTGGAAGTGCTGACAGCTTCCTGGGGGCTGGAGGAGCTGGGGTCCTGGGGTTCTGGCGTCCAGCTGGGGGCAGGCACCTGGGGCCTGGCCCTATTACTCTACCTTGCTGTCCCTGTCCACGGGTATCATCCACTAGAGGCTACATCCTGGAGATGCCCACTCACTCCAAGGCACCTGTGGAGGTGGTAACTTGGGGAGACTGGGCAGAGGTGCCTGAGTACCTCTGAGTGCCCAGGGCCTGGGTCCAACCCATCCCAAGGAAAGCTGCGTGCCTTGCCTGCCGGGTCTTTGGCAGTGATTGTCCATGCTCAAGCCAAGGCATGTACTAGTTTTAATGCAAAACTGACAGAGGGAAGAACCATTAGGCGCAGGGAGCCCTAATGGTTAGGGAGAGCCCTAACCTCTCCAATGATGCCACAGGCCCTTCTGGTGACGACGGGGCAGGCCTTTAGACCCCTTCTCAGAATAATGTTTTAAGTGCACAGAACAAAATACAAAGATAGATGAACCTTGAAAACATTATGCTACATGAAAAAAGCCAGTCACAAAAGACCTCAGAAAGATTCCATTTTGGCCGGGCACAGTGGCTTACTTTGTAACCTGTAACCCCAGCACTTTGGGAGGCGAAGGCAGGCGGATCACCTGAGGTCAGAAGTTCGAGACCAGCCTGGGCAACGTGGCGGAACCCTATCTCTACTAAAAATACAAAAATTAGCTGGGCGTGGTGGCACACGCCTGTAATCCCAGCTACTCGGGAGGCTGAGGCAGGGGGATGGCTTGAACCCAGGAGGTGGAGGTTGCAGTGAGCCGAAATTACGCCACTGCACTCCAGCCTGGGTGACAGAGTGAGACTCTGTCTCAAAAACAAGATTCCATTTCTATGAAACGTCCAGAACAGGCACATTTCTAGAGACAGAAAGTAGATGTTGTGGTTGCCAGGGGCTGAGAGTGGGGAAAGGGGGAATGTAGATAATTGCTAATGAGTACGAAGCTTCTTTTAAGGGGGACAAAAATATTCTAAAATTAGATTATGGTGATGGTGGTGGTGATGGTTGTACAATCCTGAAAATATATTTTAGAAACATGGAGTTGTACACTTTAATGAGTTGTATGGTACAGAAATTATATCTCAATAAAGCTGTTATAAAAATCAAGAAAATAAATATGATCACAAATACCAATCTTATTGAAATCTAGTTATCAAAATTTTTAAAAAATGTTATAGTATAGCAATATATGTGCCTTATCAGCATATTAAATCGCAAAATCCAGTGGGGTCTATTAACCACCTTAATTTAAAACTAGTAATGGGAACAAATGCTACTTCAAGATATCTGAAACAACACTAATGTGATGTGGAGACATCTGTAATTGCAATTGGTGACAGGGTCAGAGATACGGCTAACCCACATTGGTGACAGAGTCACAGACATAGCTAACATACTGGTTTTGTTGCCTGCCTTCCTAATTAGAGGAAATGCTGCATTTCAGGTAGGATTTATACAAATAAAGATGGACTTTTCTCCCCACCCAAGAAAACTAATCCTCAAATCCTATGCACAGAGCCCTTAAGGAGCTTTGGGCCCCAGAAGAACCCTTGGGCTGGATGGAACCATTTCTACATCATCATGGAGGTAAGAAAAGGGGCAGCTGGTTCCCTCTCTACCTCATTGTCTTAAGCAGCCGAAAAGGATTCTTAGGCTGCCTCGACTCCCACAGTTAAGGAATTTCAACCAGGAACTAAGATCCCAAAGTGAAATGTTAGAAAGGAGAAAATGACAGAAAACATCAGCCCCTCATACCAAGCCCTCAGAGCAGATGGACTGTGAACTGACTTTCATCACTTCCTGCTGTCTCTAAAGATGTTGACTCAGAGAGGCAAGTGTAGAAAGCTTGGATGAACATTTGAAGCAGGTGAACCTTGTTTTAGCTGACACACATCCCAACACCCCAACTCAAAAGATCCACCATGCCATGTTTTCCAGGACACATTTGATTTCCTGGTTCCTCTCAACCATCCCCATCCCCCTCAAAGGCACTTGTCCTCATCAGACCACAAGTCCCAACTGGGATTGGAAATATAGTCAGACAGTCCCATCCTCCCCTCTGAAGCTCTTCCTACCCTCAGCCCCCCAGGAGTGGGTGCTGGCAGCCCTAGAGCTGCCTCGCTCAGGAACCAGCATGGACTGGCTGCTCCTGCCTCATGCTCCTCTAGCGAGCACAGGAGGACAGAAGGCAGGCACCAGGGCCTCACAACATGACCTGCTACCACCCACCAATCAGATGGCTCTGTCCAGGCTGGTTCTCGGGACATAGCTGGTGGGGCAGAGAGTCGGGACAGACCGTAAGACCAGAGACCTCCCTTCCTCCATTTCTCTAGGCAGGACTGATGGTAAGATGTGATTTAAAGAGCAGGACTGATTACCAGCGTAGCTGGAGAGGCCAACAACTTGAAAATACACCCAATTCCCATTATTCACAGTAGCTATGTTCCATAGAGTTACCAGCAGATACTGAAGCAAGCAGCACTCCTAAAGGAAATGCAGAGTTAGGTTCCTGAAAGCCTCAGGTTGCAACATTTTTGTCAATCAATCAATACTAACCTTGTTTTATGTGTTTTTCTATTTAAAAGACACCTTACTGAATAAACAGATGGTCCTCAACTTACAATGGGGTCATGTCCTGATAAACCCAGGATAGGTTGAAAATATCCTAAGTTGACAATGCATTCAATACACCTAACCTACCAAACACCATAGAGGTATGTCTCAGCTTGCCTTCCACCTATCCAGAACACATGTTAGCCTACAGCTGGGCGAAATCATGAAATACAAAGCCTACTTTCTGAAAGAGTGTTGAATATCTTATGAAATGTATAGACTATTGAACAGAAAGTGAAAAACAGAATGGTCCCATGGGTATTTGAAAGATGGTTTCTACTGAATGCATATCACTTTCACACCGTTGTTAAGTTGAAAAATCATACTGGAAGGAACCATCGTAAGTCAGGAATCATCTGTACAGTGTTGATTCGTTAACACTCAACCAGTGGCACTAGAACACAAACCTGAATACAGTTTATCAAACACACATATTTTCCCCATAAGGCACATCACTGCCTTCTTGCACTTGGAAACACTAGACAGCACTTTCAAACAGTGAAACCACGAAGAAAAAGCACAAAACATGGAAAACATGGCACTAAACAAATCATGAAAACCACACTCGTTTACACCAAGAGGCTGAAACAAGATGGCAGAGCATCCTTTTCAGCTGGGAAAAGGCTCATCGGGTAACACATTTTTGCCACTCTGCTGGTGTCTATGAGTTCTGATCTTGGGGTGACAAACAAATTTTAGAGAGCAGATGAATTTACAAATATGGAATCCACAAATAATGAGGATCCACTGAACATGGTTTAAGGACCTGGCAAACAGCGAGGAGACTTACTAGGAAAACAGCCATTCATCAGCCTTAATGTGAATTAATCTGTACAAGGGCTCTTCACCTGGGGTGACAGAGGAAGCCCCTGGCAGCCATTGGAGCTTCAAGGGGTAGCTCCTGGGGGAATCTGTATACAAAATTGTTCTCAAAATTGTATGCAATTTTTTTTTTGACAGTCTCGCTGTGTTGCCCAGGCTGGAGTACAATGGTGCAATCTCAGCTCACTGTAACCTCCACCTCCTGGGTTCAAGCTATTCTTCCACCTCAGCCACTCAAGCAGCTGGGATTACAGGCATGCGCCACCATACCCAGCTATTTTTTGTAGTTTTAGTAGGGACGGCATTTCGCCATGTTGCCAGGCTGGTCTTGAACTCCCGACCTCAAGTGATCTGCCCGTCTCGGCCTTCCAAAGTGCTGAGATTACAGGCATGAGCCACTGTGCCTGGCCAAAATTTATGCAAATTTTTGATATGTATTTTTATGGGGGCTAAAATCCCATTTTCAACAGAATCTCAAGAGGTCGGTGCCCCCAAAAAGGTTAAGAACCAGTTTAATGAATGAATATTTTCCCCAATGCTCACTTGAATTTGACTGGGTTTTCTCTGGGGAAGGGAGAGTGCAGAGTAACTTAAAGATAATCAATGAAATCATCAACCTCTGAGAGCAGCAGAAGCCCCTCGTCTTGAGGACTAAGCAGACTCTGCTGGCAGCAGGGTGGAGAGTTACAGAATATGAAGTGCCTGGGATATTAGGTTCTCAGGATCACTTAGAAAAGTACTGGGAAGCCACTGTCCCACCTTTTCCATCAGCCTGCCTCAAAAGCTCAGAATGGTGGCAAAATAGCATATTAGTCTCCTTTACTACCGCAACAAATGACTACAAACACAGTGGCTTAAGCAGCACAGACTCATGACCTTACAGCTCTGCACTCAAAATTCTGAAATGGATTTCGCTGAGCTGAAAGGAAGGTGTCGGCAGGTCTGCATCTGCTCCGAAGGCTGCAGGACAGAATCCATTTCCTTGTCTCTTGCAGCTCCCAGAGGCTGCCTGGATTCCTTGGCTCTCGGCTCCTTCCTTCCTCTTCAAATTCAGCAATCGCGGCAATCGGATCCCTCTTCCATCCTCACATTTCCTTCCCTCTCCCTGCCTGGCCTCCCTCTTCCAGCTTTTAAGGACCCTGTGAGTGCGATGGACTCATCCAGATCATCCAGGATAATGTCTCCTCTCAAGGTCCTGATCACATCTGCAAAGTCCTCCTGCCATGTAAGTGCCACATTCACAGCCTGGGAAGGAGGATGTGGGCCTTCCAGCCCACAGGTCTCCTGCCTCTGCTCACACACTGATGAAGGGTGAGGAGAAGGAAGAGGCATCCTCTCCCCCAGCATCTGCTTGGGTGCAATGACAAACCCACTGGTGAGACACTCGGACTCTGTCATGCACCTACAGGGCCCTCCTGGGAGGTGGCCTATGAAACCCCAACTTCACAGGCAGAAACAAAGGCTGTGTGCATTGCCAAATGTCTTCCCCCAGCCTTCAGGTACTGCAGACAGGGCTGCAGAGAGGTAAATCAGCAGTTCTCAGTGCCCCATCTCAGTAGATAAACTGATAAATGCAATAAAATAATTCCGACACCAAAAATACCTATTTCAACCCTAGCAGCTTTACAAAGCCTTGAAACAGAACCCGTATGCCCTGGTATGATCCAGTTCTGACTTTGTGAACCACGAAACAAGGAGGCCTTTGTGCATTCATTCAACTATGCAAATAAGCCTGACCAAATAAAACAAAATGACAGGAAATTGCTAAACAAAGTGTTGTGGCCAAATCCACACTTGAGGGGTGGGAAGATGACCCTGGGAGAAGCTATGCAAACAAAACCGACCCCTTGCCCTGGTGCATTACAGATGACAGGCGTGGACTTCACATCCCGGCCACTGGGAAAATTAAGCACAAGTAAAAACACGACTTTCTATCCTCATATTTTAAAAACAAACAAACAAAACCCAACAGGACCACCTTGTCCCATTCCAATACTGTCAATTATTGACCCCTTGAGAAAAACAGCTTTACCTCTGACTTATACAATGCAGGAGCTCAAAACAGGCCTTGACCATGGTGGACAGGAACATCATGAGAAGATGTTTCTCCACCATGAACAGACTCACTGTAAACAAACTGGGAGGCCCCAGGCAGCAGAACTTCATTCTCTTCTGGGTCCAGAGGCCAGAGAGCTGAAATCCAGGCATCAGCAGGGCTCCTCTGATACCTGGAGCCGGGGACCTCCTTACCTGGCCCTGTGTCTTGTGTTTGCTGCTTGTTCTGTCCTTGGCGTTCCTTGGCTTATGACTTCCTCACTCCAGTCCCTTCCTCCGTCGTCGCGTGGCAATTCTCTCCCAATATGTCCCCTCGTTGTTATGTGGTCATCCTCTCCCCGCGTGGTGTCCCCCAATTGTCATGTGGCCATCCTCTCCTCACGTGTCCCCCCACCATTATGTGGCCATTCTCTCTCCATGTGTCCCCCCACCATTATGTGGCCATTCTCTCCCCACATGTCCTCCCATCATCACGTGGCCATCCCCTCCCCACATGTCCTGTCGTCCCAAGGCCATCCTCTCCCCATGTGTCCCCTGTCATCACGAGGCCATCCTCTTTTGGCATTCCCCCGTTGTCACGAGGCCATCCTCTCCTGACATCCCCCTGTTGTCACGTGGCCATCCTCTCCCAACATGTCCCCCCCATCATCACGTGGCCATCCTCTCCCCACATGTCCCTCCATTGTCACATGTACATCTTCTTAGAACAGCAGTCACACTGGATTAAGGGCCCACCCTACTCCAGTATAATCTCATCTCAGCGTTACAACTGCAACAACCCTATCTCCAAATAAGATCCCCTTCTGAGGTCCCGGGGGTTAGGCTTCAACATATCCTTTTGGAGGACACAATTCAGCCCAAACACTTGGTCATCTTTTCACTTGGTGGGCCCGTCCTTTTAAAGCCTGACTGCCCCATTGACCGTCTCTCCAGTAAGCTTCCTCTCTTCCTGCAGTGCCTTCACCTCCAAGTCCTCCCCCGACCCTTCTGATGTATCAGGAGCATGCACCCCACCCCAGAAGGCAGGGGCCTGGCAGCCTCACTGCCCACCTCCAGCACTCCCAGAGGCCTGGCTTCCCAGGAGGCCGGTTCCAGAGTCACCCCGCACCCTACTTGCCCCCAAACAACTGTATTTTCTCAATTATGTTTGAAGGAAGAAGAAATCCTTTTTGCTTTCCAAAATGGGGGTGACAACACAGATGTCTACACACACCAGGAAGGTAGCAAATGAAGCTAGCCAGGCATGGTGGCTCGCACCTGTAATCCTAGCACTTTGGGAGGCCAAGGCAGGAGGATTGCTTCAGCCCAGGAGTTCAAGACCAGCCTGGGCAACACAGGGAGACTCCATCCCTACAAAAATTCTTTTAAAAAGTAACCAGGCATGGTGGTGGGAACCTGTGGTCCCAGCTACTTGGGAGGCTGAGATAGCAGGATTGCTTGAGCCCAGGAGGTCAAGACTGCAGTGAGCTGTGATTGTACCACTACCCTGTCTCAAAAACAAATAAACAACAACAACAAAATGAAGCTGCTGGAAGGGCTTTGGGTGAGCAGAGAACACACACCTGCCATTAGCTGGTGGGCAGCTGCTGCAGGTGCCAGTCATGCTCACCAGCCCAGTGGTGCCAGGCTGCAGTGTTTCCAGGAGACAGGGCACTCCAGACCTTCCAGTGCTGGCAACCATCTCCATTTATTTTAAGCACTGCGTGGGCTGGAAGCACACCTCTGCAGACTGAATTTGGCCTGCCCATTTGCAACTTCCATCCCCCCTTTCTTGATAATCTCAGAAATACACAGACTTCCTGTCTCCCACGCTTTTAGTTGCATTTCCTGTAAGTTTTCCTACACGAGAATGTCTTTGCTTCCCCTTTGGCTGGCCACGAATTTCTGGCCTTTTGAGGAAAGCCCTCCCTTCTACCTCCTCAGCCCCCTTCCTCGACTCCTCTTGCCAGATTTTTAGCCGCCGGCTCTGTGGACACATCTTCGTGCCTTCTGTGGCTGGCACCCTTCCAGGGACAGAGACACTGCAGTGAACCAAACAGATGGAAACCATCCAGCATTTGGCAGTGGCCAAGAGGAACAGGAGGAATGAATGGATGAGTGATGGCAGGGGGTGCAGACCAAGATGGGGTGGGAGGCTGGGGTGGGGGCACTGCCGAGGCACAGCCAGGAAGAGGCGGGCGCTGCTCAAGCTTCCTGCCAGGATAGATAAGATCAATCAGTGCAATATAGACAGTGACAGGCGCGGAGCAGAAAAAGTGAGCAGGGAGTAGGGTATGAATAGTGGGGAAGGGGAAGTGACATTTTAGATGGTGTTGTCTGAGAAGGCCTCATTGCAAGGGTGACATCTGAATGCGGACCTGAAGGAAGCCAGGGAGATGGCTGCATGGAGAGTGGAGGAGCACTGTAGGCCCAGAAGGGCACGTGCAAAGGTCCTGCGGCAGAAGCACTCCTGACCAGTGCAAGCCCCAGCGAGGCGGGCAGTGTGACTGAAGGTTCATGGAGGAAGTGGCGTGGGGAACACACTGCACAGAAGTTTGAGGTCACAGAAAGGTTTTGGGTGTCACTCTGAATGCCACTGCAGGGGTCTGGGGATCATCCTGGCTGCTCTGTTGAGAACTGACTCTAGAGGAACAAGGAGAGAAGGAAGGAGACCAGTTAGGAGGTGCTAGCGCCACCTGGGCAAGAGAGGACTCTAGCCTGAGCCAGGGCGCAGCAATGGAAGAGCTGAAGAGTTCTGGAGACAGACAGACAGACAGACACACATACACACGTGCTTTTTAGTTGCGGAACTTTCCAAAGAAAAGTAGGGTGACATAATAAACCCTTGTACCTTCATTACCACGTACCCACCAACTCCACCTTCTCCCAGCCCACGCCCAGGCTACTCACTCTCCTATACCTTAGATCAGCTCAACTCAAAATGGGCTCCTCACACCAGCAGCACCAAGCATTAGAAATACAAGTTACGGGGCCCACCCCAGGCCTTGTGAATCAGAAGCTCTGGGCTCAAGACCTAGAAAGCTGTTTTAATGAGCCCTCCAGGGGACTTGAATGCATGCCAAAGCTTGAGAAGCACTGCCCTAGGTTATTGTGAGTAAATTCCAGGCATCACATTATTTCATCTGTAAATATTTCAGTAAGACTCTGGAAAAGATAAGAGCTCTTTTAAAAAACACAACCATGGCCAGACGTGGTGGCTCATGCCTGTAATCCCAGCACTTTGGGAGGCCAAGGGGAATGGATCACCTGAGGTCAGGAGTTCAAGACCAGCCTGGCCAACATGGTGAAACCCCATGTTGCTCTCCACAATGGAGGTGACAAAGCAGATGTCTACACACACCAGGCAGATAACAAATGAAACTAGCTAGGCATGGTATCTCCCTCCCTGTAATCCCAGCACTTTAGGAGGCTAGGGCAGGAGGACTGGTTGAGCCCAGGAGTTCAAGACAAGACTGGGCAACACAGTGAGACTCCATCCCTATAAAAATTTTTAAAGAAATTAGCCAGGCGTGGTGGTGGGAGCCTGTGGTCCCAGCTATTTGGGAGGCTGAGACAGGAGGATTGCTTGAGCCCAAGAGGTCAAGACTACAGTGAGCTGTGATCACACCACTACCCTGTTTTTAGTCTCTACTAAAAATATAAAAATTAGCCAGGTGAGGTGGTGCATGCCTGTAACTCCAGCTACTCAGGAGGCTGAGGCAGGAAAATTGCTTAAACCTGGGAGGCGGAGGTTGCAGGGAGCCATGGTCACGCCACTGCACTCCAGCCTGCGTGACAAGAGCGAAACTCCGTCTAAAACAAAAACAAAAACAAAACACAACCACAATACCATTATCACATCTAAAAAAGTTACCAGCAATTCCTCAACATCATCACATATCTGGGTATATTTTGAAGGTGGAACCATGGACAGATTGGTTATGGGATATGAGAGAAAGACAGGGTTCAAGGATGATGCCATGTTCATTGCCTGAACAATGGAAGGGATGGAGTGGCCCTGGCGTGACAGCAAAGAGTGAGAGGACAGGTCTGGGCAGAGCATCTGCTGGGACCAGACATGCCGTGGCTCTGTTGCAGCCCTGCGTGGAGGCTGACGACAGAGCTCTGCAAGTCTGGAGTCCAGCAGAGAAATCTGGTTGGAAAGATCCCCCAGGCGTCCCAGCAGACAGAGTTATTTACAATCATGGGGCCGGGTGTGGGGGCTCCTGCCTCTAATCCCAGCACTTTGGGAGGCTGAGATGGGAGGATCACTTGAGCTCAGGAGTTCGAGAACAACCTGGACAACATAGGGAGACTCCATCTCTAAAAATATAATAAAAAATATTAGTCGGGCAAGGTGTGCACACTTGTGGTCTCAGCTTCTTGGGAGGCTGAGGTGAGAGGATCATCTGAACCTGGGAGGTGGAGGCTGCAGTTAGCCATGATTGCGCCACTGCAATCCAGCCTGGTTGACAGAGTGAGACACTGTCTCAAAAATAAACAGATCGGTGCCATGGCTCATGCCTGTAATCCCAGCACTTTGGGAGGCTGAGGTGAGTGCATCACCTGAGGTTTAGGAGTTCGAGACCAGCCTGGCCAGCATGGTGAAACCCCACCTCCACTAAAAATACAAAATTTAGCTGGGTGTGGTGGCATGCGCCTGTAATCACAGCTACTTGGGAGGCTGAGGCAGGAGAATCACTTGAACCCAGGAGGCGAAGGTTGCAGTGAGCCGAGATCGCACCACTGCACTCCAGCCAGGGCGACAGAGTGAGACTCCGTCTCAAACAACAACAAAAATTAGCTGGGAGTGTGGCGTGCACCTGTAATCCCAGCAATAAAATAAAATAATCATGAGGTTGGAGGGGATCCCCTAGGGAGTGAGTGGAGGGCACCGACTTCTGGGTGCAGCATGTTTGAAGGTCAGGGTGGACTGAGAAGTGACCAAGAAGATACAAGAAAACCCAGCAGTGCGTGGCATCCTGGCGGCCAGGAGAAGAAAGCGTTTCAAGGAAGCAAGAGCAGTCAGCAGGTCAGAGGCTGCTTCTGCATCTATAATTTGAGGACTGAGAATTTGTCACTTTAGTCAGACTTTGGCAGCTCAGAGAGGAACAGTTTCAGTAAAGTTGAGGGGCAAAAACCTGAATGGGGAGGGAGAGAGAAAATGGACACAGTGGCAACAGATGATTCTCTGAGGAATTTCCTGTGTGTGCATGCATTGTGTGCATGGATCGTGCGTGTGTGCATACGTGTGTGCGCATGTGTGTGCGTGTGCATATGTGCATGTGTGCGTGTGGCAAGCAGAGAAATGGAGAGGCTGCTGGAGAGGAAAGTGGGTCAAAAGATTTCCTTAGGCCAGGGGCATTTATACCAAGTTTTGTGCTGGCAGAAATGAGCCAGGAGAGAGGCGAGGATTGATGCAGCTGAGAGAGAGGTCAGGACCAATGCAGCCAAGAGAGAGGTCAGGACGGATGTGGCAGGAGCAGGGAGCTCCGAAAGCCATGCCCTGGAGCAGGCCATGGGCATCTGCACACAGGTAGCACTGGCCTGAAACGTAGACAGTGCACTGCGGGGAGCAGGTGGGAAGGGGGACAGACATGGTGGGCGGGTAGTGGTGGTGCAGGGAGCCAGCGGGAATTCTCTTCCAGTGGCTTCAAATTTTGGGGTGGAATGAGAGGACGAGGCCATCAGCTGAAAGTGAGGATGGGGAGGAGGCACAGCAGAGCTGAGGAAAGGGGAGGGTGGAGTTGCCATCTGGGAGGGTGGGGGAGTGGACAGAGCACAGAAACGCAAGTGAAAGGCCCACCTTGGCTCAGGGGTTGTGACCTGATGGTACGCTCTGCCCGTGTGGTAGTGGGGCATCTCCAGAAACTTCTACTGCACAGCGGCTGGTGCAGGCGTGGAGTGCAGGATGTAACCAGGGCTGAGGTTTCACCAGGTGGGGAGGACCCAGCAAGAGAAGGGCGGGTGGGGAGGGTGAGTGCAAGGCAGGGCTGGTCACTGACATGGCAAAGAGGGAAGGTGTGAGACAGACGAGGGGCTATGAGAAGGCCATGGGTTCTAAGGGTCGCCATCCCAGTGGGGTCAAAGATCACTGGGGGCCGGGCGTGGTGGCTCACGCCTCTAATCCCAGCACTTTGGAAGGCCAAGGTGGGTGGATCACGAGGTCAGGAGATTGAGACCATCCTGGCTAACATGGTGAAACCCCATCTCTATTAAAAATACAAAAAATTAGCCGGGCGTCGTTGCGGGCACCTGTAGTCCCAGCTACTAGGGAGGCTGAGGCAGGAGAATGGCGTGAACCTGGGAGGCGGAGCTTGCAGTGAGCCGAGATCGCGCCACTGCACTCCAGCCTGGGCGACAGAGCAAGACTGTCTCAAAAAAAAAAAAAAAAAATAGTCACTGGGACTGGGAATTGCAGGATGAGTGACAAGGTGAAAGTGGAGAAAGAAGAGTGGGATGTTTGAGACAGATGCTGGAGGGGTCAGGGGCGTGGCATGGGAGCGAGTGGCTGCAGGGGTGGGGTCACTCACTGGAGGAGAGGGGGCGAAGGTCCTCCGAAGGATCAACGACGTGGCCACTGAAGACACCAAGAACAAGCGCCAGACTCATAGTGAGAAATGACAGCGAGAAAGAGGGAAAACTCACCAAGGAACCATGCAACTGCCGAAACGAGGGGCAGTGAGGGACGCAGTCTCGTGGTGTTACTGGAAAGGGGTCCCGATCCAGACCCCGAGAGAGAGTTCTTAGATCTCATGCAAGAGAGAATTCAGAGCAAGTCCATGAAGTGAAAGCAAGTTTATTAGGAAAGTAAAGGAATAAAAGAATGGCTACTCTATAGGCAGGGCAGCAGTATGAGCTGCTGGTTGCCCATTTTTATGATTATTTCTGGATTATATGCTAAATAAGGGGTGGATTATTCATTTCTGGGAAAGGGGTAGGCAATTCCCAGGAACTGAGGGTTCTTCCCCTTTTTAGAGGATATAGGGTAACTTCCTGATTTTGCCATGGCATTTGTAAACTGTCATGGTGCTGGTGCGAGTGTCTCTTAGCATGCTAATACATTATAATTAGCATATAATGAGCAGTGAGTATGGCCAGACGTCACTTTCATTGCCATCTTGGTTTTGGTGGGTTTTGGCCGGCTTCTGTACCACAACCTGTTTTAGCAGTAAGGCCTTTATGACCTGTATCTTGTGCTGACCTCTTATCTCATCCTGTGGCTAAGAATGCCTAACCTCCTGGGAATGCAGCCCAGCAGGTCTCAGATCCATTTGACCCAGCCCCTATTCAAGATGGAGTCGCTCTGGTTCATACGCCTCTGACAATGGCGTGTGGGGTCAAGGGTTAACTGAGCTGGTTCCCTTTCGGCAAGGTAATTTGATCGTGGGTTGACTTTCTAGTCCTGTTTCCCTGGTAACCTGAGAAAGTTGTCTATGCTACTCGAACAACATGGCTTATGATAAAAATAAATAATGATGGGGCTTGTGGAGGCTTAAGGAATAGGCTTATCCTTGGAGGAGGCTGGGGAACTCCCCGTCTCCAGCTCCAGTGGTCCAAGGGTGTGGAAGAGAAACAGCCACCACTTGAGAGGCTCCCAAGGAAACTGTGGTTTGTCCCACAGCACAGCAAATGTGGCTCATGGATTCTGGGTCCCAAAACAGAGCTCCGTGGGTCAGACCATCCCGAGGCAGAGGCTGGTCTCAGTGGGAGCAGCCGTGCACGGCTCTGCGTGAGAGCTCTGGTCACCCAGAGCCAGTCCAGCTCAGTAACCAAGCAAACCACATGCTCTTCTTTCTTGAATAATATTTTCCACAATAACACGCCTTAAGGAAATGCCAACGAAGCCCGGCCCACAGGTCAGAAAAATAATGAGGTCATTTAACAATGCAGACAGCCCGAGACTGAGGTAGCATTTGTGGCCACATTCTTGGACATGACATGAAACCATCTTCTTGTATTTCAGGGTCTCAAGAGGCCAAAGTCTCCTTCATGTGTTAATTCGGAGCTCAGTTCTGACTGGCTGGTGGCTGCTCCTTCCAGAGTTATCAGTTTTGGAGCTGAAGCAGCTCTTCAGAAAGACAGTGGTTTTCCCAAGACAGAGCAAGGCTGCAGCTGGTTGCTAAGCAAAGGGGGATCAAAACATCTGTCTGAAACAGAAGCTGCGAGCCAAGACAAAGCCAACTGGCAGACACACATCAGCCCGCTAAAGGACTCTCCTGTCCTCCCACTGCTGCTCCCTCACCAAAAAGTCCAGGCCACATGAAAGAGCCACGGAGTGAGGGGACACTCAGAACACATCACCCTCAGCAAATGCACTACCTCCCACCAACGCCATGCCCACATCACAACCCAGCCAGAGAAAATACAAGAAAGTTTGGTTTCCCGCAGTCAGAGCCAGAAACCCATCTGTGGGGAGGGTGGGTCCTCCCCCTTTCCCAGCACTTTCCACACCCCTCCCTGCACTGAGCTGTGGCCAAAGAGGGAGGCCAGCTCCCCTAACAAGAGGGCTTGAGCACAGGACTGGCCACTGAGTCTTTGTAGTTGAGTTTTTTCCCTTAAAAATAAGAAATCCAGGAAAACAGTTTGCACCTTAAAAAGCCAGGCCCAGTGCCACATATGCCTCGGGCAGAGCCAGTGACAGGGCCCAGCACAATGGGCAGTTCCTTACACTTCAGGATGAGGCAGAACAGGCAGGGCTGGGCTGTGTTTTCACTGGGCCTGGTAGCCCCAACCCTCCTACCCAACAGGGAACAAGAAAGAAGCACAAAAATACCCATTTCTCTCCAAGTGTGTGCACCTTCTCTTTTGACAAGAGGGAGGGGTGGAGCAATGTTTCCTAGCCACCAGGGAAGTCCTGGAGTGGGGCTTCCATGCTGCACTGCCTTGCACAATCACCCCTAATTTAGGTCCTAACAAATTAGGTCCTGCGGCTGCAGGTTCTGATCCTGGCTACTTTTCCAGTTTCTTCACTCACTTCTTCCTGAACCTGCCAAACCAGTTCCTCAGTTCCTCCCCAGCTCTTCTTCCTCTCTCAGGTGATTCCTCTTGGGAAGGCTCCTCCCACCTCAGGGCCGCCTCCCTATTTCCACATGAACATGAACACATTCACACATACTCCTCTAGAAGCCATGTGGTGCGACCCACGTATGCCTCCTTGTGCTACATGAGATCCAGGAAGGAGCACAGCTTTGGGAACTGAGGGAGCCTGAGCAGGGAAGCCACGCACCCTGTCACACTTCAATTTCACCACTCAGCAAAGGGTCTAGATGCCCACTGTGTGCCAGGCATGGTTCTAGGCTCTGGAGAAAAACAGGCAGTGAGGAAGCAATATGATGAGAACAGAGCGTAAGACAAGCCAAGCGAAGAAAATGCTTCATCTGTGGGATGCTGTTGGATGGAAGACTGAGCAGCCAGAAGGTCCTGGAGGCCTTGAGGAAAGGTTTCAGAAGAGTGGGAGGACACAGCCTGGCTGGAGTCACTTCAAGGGAGACTGGGAAGAGGGAAGGTGTGTAGACAACCTCGTCACATGGGAAAACCAAGAGATGAGGTGGAGGCCAGGGTCAAGAGAGGGTTTCTTAATGTGAGCTAAGACAGCCTGTTGGTATAATGGTGCAAATGACCGAGTTAGGAAGGAAAGGGGGAAACTGCGGGAGCGAGGTCTTAAAAGATGAGAGGGGTCAAGGTCACTGGGAGGGGGGACAAGCCTGGGAGGCTGTCCACTGTACCAGAGCCAGGGAGTAGGTGTGGGGGCTGTTGAAAGTTCTTAGCTACCTTTGGCTGGGCGCGGTGGCTCATGCCTGTAATCCCAGCACTTTGGGAGGCCGAGGTGGGCGGCTCACGAGGTCAGAAGATCGAGACCAGCCTGGCCAACATGATGAAACCCCGTCCCTACTAAAAATACAAGACAATTAGCCGGGCGTGGTGGCGGGCGCCTGTAGTCCCAGCTACTTGGGAGGCTGAGGCAGGAGAAATCGCTTGAACCCGGGAGGTGGAGGTTGCAGTGAGCCGAGATCGTGCCATTGCACTCCAGCCTGGGGAACAAGAGCCAGGCTCCATCTCAAAAAAAAAAAAAAAAAAAAAAGAAAGTTCTCAGTTACCTTCATTTTCCCAGTGAAATAGGAAGCAAAATCATCAGGTGTGAGGGGGATGAGATGTGAAAGGCTTGAGGAGATGTGAAATAGTCATCCTGGAGGCCAGATGGCTGGGGAAATGCAGGAAGATTTTTTGATTCCACACAGCCCTGGAAATCTATGAAGTCTCACAGAACAGTCAAGATGGCTGTGTTTTTCTCCGGCCACATTCAGCAACACAAGTGCATGCAGGGTGCAGAGGAGGGCGGGAGAGGGCTAGAGTCACTAAGAGCTGGGGATACCGCGGACAGGTGTGCAGGAGAGGGAACGGGGCAGAGAGGACGGCAAGTGAGAGGCCAACAGAGCAGGCGGGTGAGGCTCTCTGTGACCTCACCCAGACAGGGACAGAGGAGGGGTAGAGAGACCCAGTGAGCAGGGAACTCTGCTCCTTAATGAATGGAGAGGTGTGGTCAAGGAGGAAGATGGATTCCAGATGGTTCCTCCTACGGAGGGAAGAGGAGCTGTGGCCCAAAGGAGCACCACGAGACAGGGACAGGGTGTCTACCCCGCCTCCACCATCACTCCCAAGGACAGCAGAGTGGTCTCAAGAGAAGGCCCAGCTTGGGGGGAGTGCGTGCTGTAAGGGAAGTGTTCAAAGAAGAGGCCGACCACAGTGCGGTGCGGGTAGGTCAGGGGTGGCGGGGGTTGTGTTTACTGAAGACAGTTCCAGAAGGCTAGGGGGTCGGCGGGGAGAGTTGATCAACTTACTAAAAGTCAGCTCCTACTCCATATTTCAATCCAGAATCCAGAAAACAGGCCAGAATTCATTTTTCAGGACTTTCTGATTTATTTGTTGTTGTTTGGTGAGAAAATGAGCATGGGTTAGGGACCCACTGGGACCTGTTTTCTCACCTGGGTTAGAGGGGCTATGAGACGGCCTACTGAGCCCCAGGCTCTCAGGAGCCTCTGAACACCAGGACATGTGGTCCAAGAAAGATGAAGGAACAAACAGCCAAATCCAGCTCTGAGTAAACACACTGATTCTGCTTCCTTATTCACAGCCCCACAGGTGGCACATCTCAGGCACATATGGTTTGTGACTCTCCGGCCTTCTCCATACATGTCTGCTCTTACGTACAGAGGCCCTGTCTGTCTCTAGGAGAAAACATCATGCTATTTTTTACAAAAGGGCAGAAGAAACCTTCTCAAGTGACGCTAGTTACCGTCATTCCGTGGATCTGGAAACAGCTTCCTCCACTTTACCAATGGTTTTCTGTACCTAGAATTAGCTCCTGCCTCAAAAAAAAAAAAAAAAAAAAAAAAAAAAAAAAAAAAAAAGCCTTTTGGCTTGGTGAGAACCTGGCCCCAGAATCTTAATCACATCATCGCCAGGATTCCCAAACTGCATGCCGAGGTGCACTCCTGGACCATAAGCTGTTGTGCTGTGTGCTGTCAACCAAAGGTCAAACATGTGTGAAAAACACTGGCCTGAGCAGGGCTTGAAATCTGTCATCCACTAACCGGAGCTGCACGGCTCGAAAGAGAACAGGTCTCCCAGTCACCTGCACATCACAGCTTTCTGCTCTAGGGCCCCTCCTTGGGGAAGCCTGCTTCACAGAACAAACACTACCTGCCCGGGATGCCTGCCCTGACTCCTGCCAGGGGCTTCCTTGCCCTCCCAAACCCTGGCCTTTAGAAGCAGGATGCCTTACCCACCACCTGCCCCAATTTCTGAACACCATGGCCCCCTTACTACCTCTTGCCACTCTGGGTCCTGCACCAGGCTGTTGTCCGCCTCTAGCACCTGAGCCCCACCTGGATGTTCGCAGCCCTGAGCTTGGCTCCCTGGGCCTGTGTCTCAAGGTCTCAGCTGGAAGCTACACAGGGGTGCTCCCTAGAGGGCAGGCTCAATCTGGGCTTGTCTGGAAGCCCATAGGGCTGGCTCAGAGCCTGTACAGAGACAACCAAACATCCCATGGGAAAAAGGTCAGCAGGCTAAGGGGAGGGAGACAGGTGCCAGGGCATGGCCATGAAGCCAGGAGCTGGGGTAACTGAGCAGAGTGCGCTGCCTGCCACCTGGGGCCTGAGCTCCATGCCTGAATCACAGGGGGAGATGGCAAGAGAGTGGGGCTGGAGACGGGGCAAGCAGCCCTCACCCACCCAACAGTGACCATGTGCAAATGGCCGTGCTGGGCAGAGCCGGCCACACTGGCTCCATTGTTTTGGCCATTTGTATTTTTCCTTTGGAGAATTGCTCATTATATCCTTTGCCAATTTCTCTGTTGAACTATTTGTCCTTCCTTCTTCATGATCTATAGGAGTTCTTTTATATGCTATGATCATCCATCTTTGGCCTTTTTCTATGTTACAAAAGGCTGCACAAACTTTCCTTCTGGGCTGTTGCTTGTCTTTTCACTACGTTTATGGTGTCTTTTGATATATTGGAGTTTTCCATTTTTATGTAGTCAAATCTATCATTCGGACACAGGGGGAATGGGAGGCAGGGGCCTGGGATGCAAACGTTCTCTCTCCAGATCTGCGTGCTGGCTATGTGGGTGTGTTCACCGGGTGAAGATTCATGGAGCTCAACGCTTCGAGTGTTCATTTTTCTCTATGTATGTTACACTTCAATAAAAATATTTCCCATATCTGTCAGGTTTATTTCCTTTATGACTTCTGAGTTTGATGCTTTCCTTAGAACATCTTTCCATGCCGTAACACTGTGAAAGCATAGCCTATATTTTCTAATACTTTGAAAGTTGTTTTTTTACACTTAAATACCTCTGCATTTATTTTAATGTATGATAAAACATAGGACTCTCACTTAGTGTCCATATGGATAGTTTTGGTCACAGGCTTAGCAAAATCTTTCTTCCCTTCTGTATGAGAATTTAATGTTTAATTATCTAGCTCTGGTTCCCTGGGAACCCCAATCAAGATGGAACGTCAACTCTGTTACTAGACAACATTGCTCATGGTAAAAATGACCTTGATTGGCAAATTGCCTCTGGACAGGGAAGACCCATAAGTGAATTATAACCACTCGGTGAAGAAGCCAGGCATGGGGCTTCCTTAGGTGTGGTAACTCTTGTAACATGGAATGTCCCCTGTGTGAACCCAGGGCTCTGTAAGGCTGGTAATTTTATAAGGGATTCTGGCTCCTTGGGGACCCAGGGCTTTCAGCTGGGGGAGGAGCTAGTGACCAGAAGGACACCTGTGTGTGCAGCCACCTGCAAAAACTGCCAGGAAGACCCCTCGCTCCCCTGGAAGCAGAGCAGCAGGCAGCATCCTGCTGGCCAGCCAAGGTTTCCAGCCTATTCCTCTCTGAGCAGACCGGCCAAGAATGCCTGCGTGAATATCCAGTTGAATAGAGCAGGGGCCTCTTAGGCACTGCACTGATCAACCACACCAACAGCAGGTGCTGAGTATCCACCCTTACCTTTCTCTGACCGACTGAAGTCATCACCTTTATAAGAAACAAAGTAACACTGCTCACACAAGTCTGTTCTGAGCCTTCCACTCTACTGTGTTGATTTGTGCTGACAGCCTCCACGATGGTTAGGGCTTTATAATATGTTGTGCTACCTGGTAAATCAGTCTGCCTTTGTGGATCCTTTTCAAAATCTTGGCTATTTTTTTTGCCAATGCTTCGTCATTCAACAGTGTTTGCCAAGCCTCATTTCCACACGAGGCAGTGTTAAGGTAAGGTACTGAACGAGATACACAATGCCCCTGTATTAGTTGCCTGGGTTGCTGTAACAAAGAACCACAGAACGGGGGGCTTGAAACAACAGCAAATTTATTGTCTCACAGTTCTGGAGGCCAGAAATCCAAGATCAAGGCGTGGGTAGGAGCATCTTCCCTTGCTTTTCCCAGCTTCCGGTAGCCCAGGCATTCCTTGTCTTGCGGCAGTGTCACTCCCATCTCTGCCTCCATTGTCATATGGCTGTCTTCCCTGTATGCCTTCACATGACATTCTCCCCTCTGCGTGCGTCTGCCTGTGTCCCTTTTCTTCTTATAAGCACGCCAGTCACATTGGATTAAAGGCCCACCCTATACCAGTACGATCCCATCTTAACTTACATCTTCATTGCATCTGCAAAGACCCTATTTCCAAATAAGATTGCAAGGTATCCCGGGTTAGGACAGCAATGTATTTTTCTGGGGCACACAATTCAACCCACAATGCATTTTTGCAGTGGACAACAGAAGACACCCACGTAAGCACACACATAAGGTAATTTCAGTGATAAGCGCCAAGAAGAAAGGAAACCAGGCATGGGGCAGAGACAGTTGGTGTGTGGGGGCTGCAGGGTATTCCAGCCACAGAGGTCAGGAAGGTCTTACTGCAGTCACGAAGCTGGGTGGGGGGGGGTGGGGTAGGTGGGGAGACGGAGGCAGCAGCAGCCAGGCCAACCCTTGGTGTACTAGTCTGTTCTCGCACTGCTATAAAGAAATGCCTGAGACTGGGTAATTTATAAAGAAAAGAGATTTAATTGGCTCATGGATCTGTAGGCTATACGGGAAGCATGGCAGCATCTGCTTCTTGGGAGGCCTCGGGGAGCTTTTACTCATGGTGGAAGGCAAAGTGGGAATAGGCAACTTACATGGCAGGAGCAGGACCAAGAGGGTGGGGTGGGTGCCACACACTTTTAAACAATCAGATCTTGTGGCAACTCACTGTTTCAATGATAACCCCAGGGGGGATGGTGCTGACCATTCATGAGAAACCACCACCATGGCCCAATCACCTCCCACTGGGCCCCATCTCCAGCACTGGGGATCACATTTCAACATGACTTCGGGTGGGGACATAGATCCAAACCATATCACCTGGGGGAGGGAGTGCATGCAGGTGGGTGTGAAGATTCTGAGCAGGAACAAGTCAGGCTGCTGAATGCAGTGAGCCCAGGAAATGGTGGGAGATGAGGGTGGAGAAAGAGGCAGGGGCAGAGGATCAGGGCTGTGTGAGCTTCAAGCAGATCCCTATACGGGGAGCAGGGGAAGAGCCAGGAGACTAGTTCAAAGGCTGCCAAGCAGACCAGGAAAGCACATGGGGCAGTGGCTGCACTCTCGATGTAGCAGCGATGACCGGGGGACTCGGTGGGATTCACCATCTGTTTTGGGGTGGGATTCACTACTGGCTGGTAGGTTGGATGAGGCTGAGGAAGGAAGGGGCGTCAGAATGACTCACAGGCTTTTATTACCAGCAGTTGCCTGGATGGTGCTGCCATTAACCAAAATGGGAGAATGAAGGTAAGAATAAGTTTGGATGTAGGGGGAGTCCAGCGATACTGTAAAATCAGCCTGTTACATTTTAGACCAGGCTCTTGTTGGAATTTAATTGGATTTACTCATCGATACTTGCACTTCCAGATTAACTGGAGAGGAACTGCCATCTCTATAGTGTTGATGTTCCCACTCCAAGAACATAGTATGCCTTTCCACAGATGTGGGCTTCAGTCAAGTTCTATAGCTTTCTTCTTTTAGGCCTTATACACTTTGTTTATTCCCAGAAACTGTGGGGGAGTGGCATCTGCTTTTCCCATTACAGACTCTAATTGATTAATGATGGCATTATGGGAAGGCTATTGATTTTTATCTGTCGATGTTGAAAAGCGGCCAATTTATAACTCCCTGTCTAGTGAACCACCAAGCAGCTTGTCACCCGGCTCACGGAGGTGTCAACATTTTCCCACTCTTATTTCACCAACTCCCCGTCCCCGCTGTGTGTGTGTGTGCATGCATGTGTCCGTCTGTCTCCTGGCGCATGCCAAACAGATCCCAGACATGGGATCACTTCACTCGCAGATGCTCATTTCAGGCACAGATGGGCATTTCCCGCACAGATGCTTCAGGATCTAGCTCTCGGCTTTCCTGAGTGTATGATCCTATCCTCCGCACTCAAAATACCTTAGGAGTGTTCAGAAGAGAAGGCAGGCACAAGACAGAGAGCTGCCCTAGGAGGGCCCAGCAGAGTGGATGTGATGGAACTGGAGTTTCAAGGTGCTCCTTTGAAGCTCACACACTGTTTGTTTTTTTTAATAGGAGCACCCCTCAAGTCTTTGTTCCAGGTGTATATTCTCTTTTAAGCCAAAATTCTGAGACGCTCTCAGCAACTTAATTTTCCTGACAGTAAACTGAGCCTGAAATCTAAAAGGAGAAGATGTTGCCCAAGACAGACACACTCAAAGGCCCTAGAAGTCTGGGGCTATTCATACGCAGTCATATTTCATCATATTTTCTCATTGCCTGTATATAGTCTGAACATAACTTGCTTTATGTTTTAAGGGTGAGCTCCAAATACCACTTCTGCAGTTGGCTGAATCACTACTGCTCAGGCTGGGAAAAGGCCTTTGCCAGTTTTAGCAGGATGGGCAGTCTGGGGCCCATATAGCTTCTTCTGTGAATTAGAAGGAAGTGCCCCCATGCCGTAGATTCAGACACACAGAGCCACAGCCTGGAAAGCAAGGTGGTGCAGGGCAATGGAGGGGCGCTCCTGGCCAGGAACCCCCTGGGACTCCCTGGGGTCTTCAGAATTGCCAATATTTTCAACATCCTCATGGAAATCATCTCTCATCTATCTTCCCCTGTCAAAAAGAGCCCAAATCTATTGCTTCTGGTTAAAATCAGTGTATACCACCAGACAGAATCCCTCAGGCCTCACCCAAAAATGCCATTTATGTGGTCTGCCTGGAGGGCGTGGCAGATGCCCTTTGAAATGAAAACACAAGCTTCTGTCTGTCCACTCTGGAGACATGAGATGCCATCATGGAATTCCATTCCTGCAGCTCGCTGCTGGCCCTCCCATTTTCCACCCAGCTGTGGTTCTGAGCTCGCCACCCACCGCCAGGTGGTCCAGGTGAAAAGAGAGGTAGATCCCCCACCCAGAAGGGCCTTGTTACAAGGGCCTGGCTCAGGCCTGGGCAGCTCCAGCCTTAGTTTTCAAAGATTCCTTTCTTTATTCACATCATTTAAATAAAAACAAACAACCTCCATTGTTGAAACAGACTGTGACAGCCAGTGTCACTGTTCTGCCCTGGAGCACGTGGACTGTCACTGCCAATGACAGCCTTCTAATCACTCATCTCTGCCCAGCTGGCTCCACCTGACCTCAGCTTTGCTGAATCAGCAGGAGCTGCAGAGAACGGTCACCTCCTCTTAAAGAGAATGTTTCCAATAGACAATATTTATCAGTCATTGATAAGATTCATGGTAAAGCGGGGTTCATGCAACATATAAAACAGACAGTTTAAACAGACAGATAAAAAAGACCACACACTGGCTGGGTGTGGTGGCTCACACCTGTAATGTAATCCCAGCACTTTTGAAGTCCGAGGCAGGTGGATCAAGAGGTCAGGAGATCGAGACCATCCTGACTAACATGGTGAAACCCCGTCTCTACTAAAAAATACAAAAAATTAGCCAGGGGTGGTGGCGGGCGCCTGTAGTCCCAGCTACTCGGGAGGCTGAGGCAGGAGAATGGTGTGAACCAGGGAGGCGGAGCTTGCAGTGAGCCGAGGTAGCTGCACTGCCCTCTAGCCTGGGAGACAGAGCGAGACTCCGTCCCAAAAAAAAAAAAAAAAAAAAAAAAAAAAAAAAAAACCCACACATTTCCAGACACACAAACTCCCGCCTCCCTAGCCAAATGACAGTCCAGGTTACTTAAAAAAAAAAAAAAAAAAAAAAAAAGCTATGCAAGAATGAAAGTTATGTTTTTAAGAATGCCATGGCCCTCAAACTATGAAGCTACTACAGTAAAACATTGGGAAAGACCTCCAGGACATTGACCTGGGCAAAAATGTATTGAGCAATACCCCACAAGCACAGGCAACCAAAGCAAAAATGAACAAAAGAGATCATATTAAGTTAAAAAGCTTTTGCACAGCAAAGGAAACAATCAACAAAGTGAAGAGACAGCCCACAGAATGGGAGGAAATATTTGCAAACTACTCATCTGACAAGGGACTAATAACCAGAATATATAAGGAGCTCAAACAATTCTACAGGAAAAAAATCTAATAATCCGATCCAAAAAATGAGCAAAAGATTTGAATGTACATTTCTCAAAAGAAGAAATACAAATGGTAAACAGGCATATGAAAAGGTGCCCAACATCACTGATCGTCAGAAAAAGGCAAATCAAAACTACACTGAGAGATCATCTTACCCCAATTACAATGGCTTACATCCAAAAGTCAGGCAATAACAAATGCTGGCAAGGATGTGGAGAAAAGGAAACCCTTGTACACAGTTGGTGGGAATGTAAATTAGTACAACCACTATATATGTTATATACTATATATACGTTATGTAGTATACATATGTTATATATGTTATGTACTATATGTACTATATGCGTACAACCACTATGGAGAACAGTTTGGAGGTTCCTCAAAAAACTAAAAGTAGAGCTATCATATGATCCAGCAATCCCACTGCTGGGTATCTACCCAAAAGAAAGGAAATCAGTATATCAAACAGATGTCTGCACTCCCATGTTAGTTGCAGCACTGTTCACAATAGCCAAGATTTGGAAGCAACTTCAGTGTCCACCAACAGATGAATGGATAAAGAAAATGTGGTACATATACACAGTGGAGTACTATTTATCCATAAAAAAGAATGAGATCCTGTTATCTGCAACAACATGGATGGAACTGGAGGTCATTATGTTAAGTGAAACAAGCCAGCCAGCCGAGTGCAGTTGCTCACACCTGCTCACACCTGTAATCCCAGCACTTTGGGAGGCCGAGGCGGGTGGATCACCAGAGGTCAGGAGTTCGAGACCAGCCTGGACAACATGGTGAAACCCTGTCTCTACTAAAAATACAAAAATTAGCTGGGTGTGGTGGTGGGTGCCTGTAATCCCAGCTACTTGGGAGGTTGAACCCAGAAGGCGGAGGTTGCAGTGAGCCGAGATCGCACCACTGCACTATAGCCTGTGTGACAGAGCAAGACTCTGTCTCAAAAAAAAGGAAAAAAAAAAAAAAAAAAAAAAGAAACAAGCCAGGCACAGAAAGACAAACATTGCATATTCTCACTTATTTGTGGGATCTAAAAATCAAAATTGAATTCATGGACATAGAGAATAGAAGGATGGTTACCAGAGGCTAGGAAGGGTAGCGGCGGGGGTCTAGGGAGGAGGTGGGGATGGTTAATGAGTAAAACAAATAAAAATAAAAGGAATGAATAAGAACTGGTACTTGATAGCACAACATGGTGACTATATAATTTAACTGTACATTTTAAAATAACTAAAAGAGTATAATTGGTTTGTAACACAAAAGATAAATGTGTGAGGGGATGGATGCCCCATTTTCCATGATGTGGTTATTACATATTACATGCCTGTATCAAAATATCTCATGTATCCCATAAATATATATACCTACTATGTACCCACAAAAAAATAAAAATTTTAAAAAGTCATGGCTTTTAACAAGAATCTGCTAAACCAGCCATGGAATCAGCACAGTCCATATTTTAATCAATCCCTTGGCATTCCCAAAGTAAGCTTCAATTGCTTTTTATAAGTTTTTGCTGGTTGTAGGAAAGGGTAGACTCAAGGAGAGATAATCTCATGTATTTTCATTAATTCATAAGCATCCCATAAAAAATGCAGAGCATCAGATTTCTAGGTTTAGCTGAGACCTCAAAGCCATCTTCGATTTTGCCTTGCCAGATCACATCTCCTAAGATTTGCATTTCTGAGTGGTTTATAACTTTAGGTGTGTGAAGTAGCGATGGTGACAGTGACATGTTTAGTTTTAAAACTTTTTTCTTTTAAGACGCATGGAATCTCAGAGTAGGAAAGGCAACTAGGTTGTCATTCATTTGTTTTCAGATTAAGATATTGGGGCCCGGAGCAATTAACTAAATTCCCCCACTGGAAAGAAGAGCCTAAGGAGCCAGGGCTAGGATTCAGGTCTCCTCCCTCCCAAGCTGATGCGAGATCCTGGTACTCAAAGCTGGTCGTGGATCAGCATCACCTGGGAGCTTGTTAGAACGGCAGGCTCTCAAGGCCCACCCCAGAGCCAACGAGGCAGAACCCGATTTGCCACAAGAATCTCCAGGTGAGGTGAACAAGTAAGGTTTTGGAAGCACTGCTGTCCCGGGTTTGTTGACTTAGGGTGAGGAGGGGAGGTGTTCTCAGCCAATCTCCTTAAGGTTCGTCCCTCACCTGGTCACAACGCACTCACCACTTTCTCCGGCAAATGTGTGTGCCAGGCTCCAGAGGCGTTCTCTCTTCCCCTCCTTAGAATCATTCAGACTGCGCAGTTAAGCTAGGCAGTCTCCATCTGTGATACACCCAAAGCCTCTCCTGGCGTGGCACATGCTCCCTCTCTGAAAGCAAAGGTATTGACTTTGCAGCTGAAAAAGAGACTGGGGCTTGGGATGGGAGAGGCAGGTGCTGAGGGCTGGGGTCTGGCTGTCCCATTGCCCAAGGTGTCTTGTAAGCCTCAGTTTTACCCACCGTGAGCAGCCACTTAGTTCCCTGTCCTCAGGGCAGAGAGGTGGGAAAGGACACAGGTGAAGAGTTTGGAGGTGGTATCACTGGAACATTCTAGGTTCAGAGCCGAGGAAAGGGAAGGAAGTCATTTGCCTCTTCCGGGTTACTCCCACCAGTCAGTAAGAAGTCAATGTAGAACCACCCCTCGCCTTAGCATTCACAGACAGGCAGCCAGCAGCAGGGGTGAGAAACTGCACGGGAGCCCGTGCTCACCTTAAATTTGGCCATTTTGCTACATCTTGCCGGGAGCCTGGAGCAGCCCGGTCCTCCGCTGGGTCTGAGCAGCAGCCGCTAACAACCTGCCCCCTCCCGCAACCCAAGTCCCACACCAACGCCAGAGCCAGGAGAGAATTTAGAGTCAGAGTTCTGCTCAGGGAGACCACATCCTACTTCAAAGGCCCCTGGGGACATGCATCTTCATTTCCTAGCAGCTGTGATGAAGAAGCAGGCGTGCGGGGGTGAGGCCCTGTCCTCAGGGGGTGTGTGGGCTCACTAGAAACATACAACTCCATCTGAGATGGAAGGCTGGCTTGGGGCACGCCAAGGAGAAGGAGAAGAAGGCATGAGAGAGTGGGCAGGAATGCAGGATGCAGGAATACAACCAGGTGCCCGAGAGCCCCATGTCCTCAAAAACCTGCCTTAGAATGAAGCTCAGACCTTCACACTGGAGCCGTGGAACTTGATCCCACCTCCTGCGGCCTGGGCCTGGGGCACAAGCACAAGCTGCCTCTGTGGCTGACAGGCTCCCAGTGAATCCGCTGCTCCGAGTCACCTTTTCAACCAGGAGGCTTTACAAGCAGTGGCAGCCTGCCAGCCTCGCGGGCCAAGGGCACAGACGGCGCAGCCCACAGGACCTGGCCGGGGCATCTAGCCTCCTGGCGCAGCACCAGACTCACGCTCCGAGGCTGGCTCCTGCCCAGTGCCCCCCAGGGCAAGGCACAGTTCCATCCACCAACTTGGCAGAGCCTCCTAGCCCCCCCCAGAAAAGCCCACAGGGTCAGGAAGACACGCTCTGCAGGAGCCCCAGCACCCTCCCGCAGACACTTCTCCAGCTCAAACCCAGGGGCATCTTGGAGCCGACCCAGTCTAACGTTCTGGGTTTGCCAGGCCTCATGTTCCTTGAGAAGCCTGGGGCCTTGTAGCATCCTTTGCACTGGGGGGCGCTTTCCTCAGCACCTTGGGGCCGCATCAGCCTCTGCTCCCAGTGCTGGGGACATCCGTGTGGAGGCTCAGCTCTGCCCCCAGGAGCGTGGGCTTCAAGCATGTTTCTCCCAGAGATCATGTTTCGCCTTTGTAGTGCCACACCCTCTGCTCAGAAAGGGGCTGGCTGTTTCCCCAAGTGGGAACCTCCTCGATCAAAAGTGTATGTCAGATGAAAACCAAGATAAGCCAGAGACAACAGGACAAAGGGAGTCTTTTTCCATATATATATATATATATATATATATATATATATATATATTCATTTTTTTACATAAGAATGAGATTTTACTGAACATATTGTTCTCTGGAGCCTTCCACTGGAGGTGGAGCCTCAGGCAAGTTCTTAGGCCTCTTGTGCCTCAGTTTCCCCAAGTGTAAAATGGAGATTACTAGTACTTGCCTTGACATAAGGATGAAGTAAGTTAATAAATGTAAGCCACTTGGATCAGCACCTGGTAGGTGGTAAACACTCCACAAATGTCAGCTATTATGATCAAGTTGAACCAAAGTTTATTTAACCAGTGAAAAACTCAAAACAGCTTGCAATAAACATCCTTGAAGCAAAATGGGCTAGTGATCTGGGACTGTTTCCTGAGATAAACTTCTGCATGTAGAATAGCGGATTAAGCACTCCGGTTTTCATTCACCTGTCTAAATTTTCCTCCAGAAAGAAAGAATGACTTACATTTACATGAACAGTGCCAGAAGGCTCCTGCCCGTGAGATCTCGAAAAGAAGCAGTACCCTGAACTGGGCTGTTTCGTATGGACTTTGAAGGTGGACCCAGCCTGCCCACTGACAGCCTCCTGTCCACAGTGTGTGGTTGATGGCACCGCAGCTCTGGGGGCTTTAAGTGTCATGTGCACCCTCCCAACCCAATTTGGTTTTCACCTCGAGGACAGCTGGCCACGACACCAACAAGCCCTGCCCAGAAATGCTAAAGGGACTCCGATCAAATTCCCAAGTCTGAGCCTGAACCAGTTTACCCATGGCTTTAAGGACAATTCAAGTGGAAAGAAAACAGAATATATTCCCCATCCTCAGTGGGAAGGCCGAAGGAGCCCAGCAACAGAAACTGAGCAGCCAAAAAGCACAAAGGGGACCCTGAGCACCCCAGGAACGCTCCAGAAGAGAGACACAGCAGAGAGACACGGGCTGGGACAGGTGCCCAGGACAGGTCTGCCTGAATATCTGTAGGGTCTGGGGCCAGAGTACTCATGAGTGCTGCATCCTGTATGCCCAGCTGTTCAGTTTTAAATCAAGCTAACAAAGTAAAACAGTTAAATAAAATAGGTTCTATCCTCCTACCTCGAAAAGTATGCCACCGTGACTACCTGGAAGGCCAGGTTCATTATGTAGCCAGTGGGGAGGGCGGCCCCAGCCTGGCCACCTTCTCTTCCCCGACTTCCCCCAACCTGGGCTTCATGCCCCCCTGCAGGGAGCCTCGTGCATACACACACAGAGTCCCAGCTAGTGTGTGTCCCGTTCCACCTGTAACATGCCCTTGCCACCCCAACGCCCGGGCCTGGGGTGGACATACGGCTGCACAGTCTGCCTGAGGCCCTGGGAGGGGGCTGAGCAGGCTGCACTATGTGCTTAGCACACTCCAGGGTCTTGAGCAGCAGGAATGTCATCCAGAAAGGGGAGCATAGAGGCCACTGGACATGGCCCTCGGCCCTCTCTTGCCCGGGGCTAGAGGCAGTGCCGTCAAAGGGCCCAGACCTTGTCCTCCCGAGCTCACCAGCAGAGCGCTCCCTGTTCTTCCAGGCTGTGGTCGACCCTTCCCAAGTGGTCACTTTGCTTTTAAAAATGTGTCTTGGCCAATGTCTCAGAATCAGTTCATGCCACCATTTCTGCTGCTGGCCACACGAAATCTGCCAAGTAAATTTCGAACTTGCATAGCATGGTAACTATAGTTAATAATAATGTATATTTTGAAATCACTAGGAGAGTAAATTTCAAATGTTCTCCCTACAAACAATAAGTGGTCAGGTGCAGTGGCTCATGTCTGTAATCCCAGAACTTTGGGAGGCCGAGGCGGGCGGATCACTTGAAGTCGGGAGTTCGAGACCAGCTTGGCCAACACGGCGAAACCCCATCTCTACTAAAAATACAAAAATTAGCCGGACGTGATGGCACGCGCCTGTAGTCCCAGCTACTCAGGAGGCTGAGGCAGGAGAATCGCTTGAACCTGGGAGGCGGAGGTTACAGTGAGCCGAGATCGGTGCCACTGCACTCCAGCCTGGGTGAGAGAGCAAGACTCCACCTCAAAAAAGATAAATAAATAAACAAAGAAGTATTTGAGGTGATGACTACGTTAATCATCTTGATTTAATCATTCCACATTGTACACATATATGATCACTTTGTACCCCATAATATATAATCATCCTAATCTGTTGGCCTAGCACAGTGGCTCACGCCTATAATCCCAGCACTTTGGGAGGCCGAAGCGGGTGGATCACCTGAGGTCAGGAGTTCGATACCAGCCTGGCCAACATGGTGAAATGCCATCTCTACTAAAAATACAAAAATTAGCCGGGCATGGTAGCACACGCCTATAGTCCCAGCTACTCGGAAGGCTAAGGCCAGAGAATCACTTGAACCTGGGAGGAAGAGGTTGCAGTGAGCCAAGATTGTGCCACAGCACTCCCAGCTGGGCGACAGAGCAAGACTCCATCTCAAAAAACGATAATAATTTGTCAATTTACAATAAAATAAAAAAATTGAACTTCTATATCTAAATGCAAGAAAAAAAAAAAAGCCAACCCAACAAATTAGAATCTTGCCTGGCTTTAAACAAACTAAATTTTAGGAGATTCACGTTTTCATAAAAAATACAGGGACAAGTGAAATAAAAATGGCAATATATTGATAACTATCAATGCCGAATGGCAGGTAGACAGGGGATTCATTTTTCCCTCTACTTTTGTGTTTGAACGTTTTCACAATTAAAGGCTAAAAGCCAAGTTTTTGAGCCACACAGCCAAAACAAGAGCCTGGTAAGATTTGAAATCACGATCTTACAGGTGAGCTACAAAAATCACGGGGAAGGCCGGGCGTGGTGGCTCATTGCCTGTAACCCCAGCACTTTGAGAGGCTGAGGTGGGCGGATCATTTGGGGCCAGGAGTTTGAGACCAGCCTGACCAACATGGTGAAACCCTTTCTCTACTAAAAATACAAATATTAGCCGGGCGTGGTGGTGCATGCCTGTAGTCCCAGCTACTCAGGAGGCTGAGGCAGGAGAATCCCTTGAACCTGGGAGGTGGGGGTTGCAGTGAGCCAAGATTGCGCCATTGTACTCCAGCTGGGCAAAGAGACTCCGTCTCAAACAAACAAACAAAACCCGCGGGAGAAGCACACACCATCCCAGTTTGCATTTTGTAAACACTACGCTGAGACAGCCTCCGGCTAGGAGAGGAGGCAAACCAGTCCTGGAGGCAGACAGACCACTGTGGTCCCGGGTCGCTGCTCTAGTTTCCCACGTCAGGGGCCCCGGAACCCTTGCCTGGTCCTACCTGTGGTTTCAACTTTGTCCAGGAGCATTTATAAAATGGTGACTTATTTGATTCTCTGTGGTCCTCTCTAGCAGATCAAAATTCCAGTCCGTGACCAAATAAATCTGGCCATAATGCCTGAGAAAGTGATCTAGGCAACAGTTCAGACTGAGTCCTGCTCTGCCCTGGGGCCATCTCACCAATTCAAACAAAGCTAAACTCGAGACGTGGCCTCGCACAACAGCAGCTGGGAGAACCTGGGGGCCTGGTGTTTACACAGAACCTTTCCCCCCAGAAGCTCAAAGTAATTTAGGGACACCCATTAATTAACTTAATTAATTCTCTCAAGTCTCCTGCCCCATCCCTCCCTCCCTGCTGCCTGTTCACAGCAAAGCCCGGCTGGGCGGCAGGAGGCACGACTTCACTCACACACAGCCCGCACTGTAAACACAGGGACACCCTCAGGCCACCGTTCCTGGGGGCTGTTGGAGAACCTTGAACTTTGGAACACTGTCGCTTACTCTGAAAATACACAAAATCCATTAACAATAAGCACTTTTCCCTAAGTTTACAAGAGACAGAGACAGGAGTAGGTTTTTGTCCCATGTGCAAATAAGGGAACATCTGTTTGCTAATTGTGGATTGTTGGCCAGGGATGCTGGTACCGGCTACGGGGCTTCCCACCTGTGCTGAGAAGGCCAACTACCCTCCAGTCAGGTTCCCGAGACTTCATAAAAGCCTTTTAAATCAGTGCCAATACATTTGGCTTTTCTGCCTCTGGAATTTTTGCTCCCACTGATCTACATAAAAGACAGATTCAGATTCACAACCTAATTCTTTTAGAAGCAGGAATTTGGAATAATTCCTTCAACAATCCTGCTAGCAGGCCAGACGGCCCTAGTGTGAAGAGTTCACTTTAGAGCAGGACAGGTGAAGACAGGTGAAGACAGGTTCAGATGGAAGGAGTCCAGCAATCAACGAATCATGGACCATCCGTTTTTCCTAAAAATCACAGCCCAGTTCAAGCCCCTGTCTCCAGGCCTTGCCTGAAAATGATAAGGAACCACCCAGCCCCTTCGGCGAGAGGTACTTTTCCAGTTAGGATCCTTCAGGAATAAAATGTGCTATGAAGGGGCAGCGCCTGTGGTCATCAGGCCCAGTCCCCTCATCTCCTCTCGCCCCTAGGAAAGCAGCTATGTGCATCCGCAGCGGAGCAGGATGGAAGTTAGAATGACTCAGGGGCCGGGAAAGACCACTACCCACGAAGCAGTTACCACAACTTGTCTCTCAGCCTCTCATTACTAACTGGGAGGGACCCATCACAGGAAAACCACAGCTGAAGAGAAAAGGAAGCTACCCCCGACTCGGAACTTCAAGGAAAGGGTGAAAGGTCAAGATTAGACCACCAGCTACGCCAGCTGCCACAAGTGTCCTGTCCCATACAAAAGTAGAGATTGCAGCCTTCTTGTAAAAATTCACCTTCTCGGGTCAGGCATGGTGGCTCACGCCTGTAATCCTAGCACTTTGGGAGGCCAAAGCAGGTGGATCACCTAAGGTCAGGAGTTAGAAACCAGCCTGGCCAAAATGGCACAACCCCGTCTCTACTAAAAATACAAAAATTAGCCAGGCATGGTGGCGTGTGCCTGTAATCCTAGCTACTGGGGAGGCTGAGGCAGGAGAATCACTTGAACCCAGGTGGGGGTGGCGGTGTTGCAGTCAGCCGAGATCGCACCACTTCACTCAGCCCAGGCAACAAGAGTGAAGCTCCATCTCAAAAAAAAGAAAAAAAATAATCACTTTCTCCAAGAAAGGAAAGTAAAACAGCTAGCTAGCCCTTTGGAACACAGATGGGAATTTCAAGTTCAGAGCCATTTTATCCAATAGTGATGCATTTAGGATATGTTGAAAGTTTTAAACAACTTTCTAGTAACATAAGGCTCTCTCCTACAAACATTCTCTGGACCAGCAAAGCCACCAAATGCTACAGCTGCTTTTTAAAAATAGTTTCATTTTACTTAAACAAAACAGACTTTAAAAAATTAAGTTTTCAGGCCAGACGCAGTAAGTAGTTCATGCCTGTAATCCCAACGCTTTGGGAGACCAAGGCGGAAAGATCACCTGAGCCCAGGAGTTCGAGAACAGCATGGGCAACATAGTAAGACCCCATTTAAAGAAAAGAAAAGAAAGAGAAAAAATTAGCCAGGCATGGTGGCATGTGCCTATAGTCCCAGCTACTCAGGAGGCTGAGGCAGGAGGATCGCTTGAGCCTGGGAAGTTGAGGCTGCAGTGGGCTGTGACTGTGCCACTGCATGCCAGCCTAGGCAACAGAAGAAGCCTCTGTTTCAAAAAAAAAAAAAATTTTTTTTTAAAGTTTTCTACTGAAAAATGAATGCTAGGTTAAATGACAAATGTGGACTGCACATGAGTTGAAGACGAGCCAATTCCTTTCTTACATTCTCTGTTCTAAAATCTGGTATACTGTAATCACCACCGTGATGTAAATCTCAGCCCAAACTTCAGCTCCTAATGGAAAATATGCACTACATTACTGTCATTAATCATTTTTAAATCTTCACTTTTGAAAAAATAAAATCTCTTTTTTCTAAGCTGCTTCAAAGAATTCTTGAATGTGTATGAACTTGGCTTAATGTTGCCGTAATCCAACTGAAGGACATCTTAATCTATTTGATGAAACAGTAGTTTTGTACCATGAAATTACTCTTTCGCTTCCGATAAATGTGGTATGAAGTAGACATCTAAAATGGAATGGAAATTTCTGTGGTTTTCTTTCAAGGCCACACCAAATAACCAAACTTAGACTCTTCAGGACAGCACAAATTAGAATAATCTGAAAATAACTTAATCTACAATTCACTGCCTACTTTTGATGCTGAGACTACTGGAGACATTGTTTCAGTAATCAAGTGACTGAGAACAAGCTGGATAAATGCATGTTAATGAAATGATTAGGGAATCAGAAATAGGAGAGATAGTCCTTCCAAGACATACATCCGAACGGGAGTCGATGCATACAAATGTGAAAAGAAGGCTAGAGGCATCTACAAAGCAGCCTGCTGCATTTGCCGACCACCTCAAGTACGAGTGACCCCGGGCTGCACCTTGTTTAGCTAGGAATACCGGCAAGCTGTTACAGCTGGACGCCTAGTGGTGGGAGCTTACTCTCGGGTGTCCACATTTAGAAGTCTAACAATCAGACCTGGTTTCACGTGCTTTGGTGCTACCCAGGTTTTCCTTATAATGGTTAGCACAAAACAAGGGACCCAGGTTAGCGATACCAGGAAGCCACGCATTGAATGACATTACAGAAACAGCCACATAAAAGTCAGGTGGATGGTGTCACCTTGGCAAGCAACTTAGCCTCTTTAGGCCTCAGTTTGCTCATCTGCAAAATGGGGATAATAATAGCTTTTTAGTAGAATTGTGAGAATTAAGTGAGATCACGTACTAAAGCCCATAGCACAATGCCAGTTTCAAGGCTTCTGAAGTCCATAGGTGAAATTCGCTGGCTTGGCAGGATCTAAGACAGCATAAAGGTCATGGTATATTTGTTTACAAGTTCTATAAATTGCAGCACCGATGCTTCTCGACCAAGTATTTACGTGGGACAAAGCTGCCATCAGCGGTTTCTCCAGAGCCTATGTTTTGGGGCTTTTGTCCCCATCCCCTCCAGGAGTGGAGCCGCCAACACAAACCAAAGGGCAATCACTGGTTTCATCAACAGGTGCAAAAGAAAAGGCGCCAGGCACAGGGTCAGGCCGGCTAAGTCAACACCCCGGGATCCTCATGAATACGCAAAGCGCCCCAGCCGGCTATCCAGCAACCATATCCTCTGGCGGCGCGGGCCGGAGATCCCCGTGGAGGGGCGGCCGGCCTCCGTGCGCCACCGGCCCAGCCAGAGTGCTCTCTCGAGTCCCCAGCCCCACTTCATTCAAACAGCCACCCCTCTGCGCGCGACCCCTACGCCCCGGCAGTCCCAGCGCCGCCCGATCCCCTCGGGAAGGGGGGGTACCCGTCTTCCCGAGGCTGGGCGAATGCGGGCGCCCTCTCCTCCGGGCGTCGCTGCCCCCGGCCCGGACTCACCCAGCGTGGCCACCGTGCCGGCCTCGAACAGCAGGCAGTCGTCGCGGCCGCGCGCCTCCAGCAGCACGCTACAGTCCCCCTCGGCCCCCAGGCGCCCCAGCAGCCGCAGCCCTTTGCTCAGGGCCATGAGGGTCGGGCCCACTGCGGGCGGGGGCCGGGGCCACGTCCTCCCGAGGGCGCGCTGCCCGCGACAGCTCCCCGCGCGCCCGCAACTTGCCAGAGTTTCACTTTGCGCCGCCGCTCCCGCCGCGCCAGGCTCCTCCCCGGCCTCCTCCCCTTCCTCCTCCTCCCCACTCGCGCCTCCCCAGCCTGGGGCAGGTGAGGGCGCGCCGCCGCCTCCCGCCCGGCCCCGCGCTCCCCCCAGCGGCCAGGCAGCTGCGCGAGGCCGCGCCCCGGGGCTGAGGCTCCCCGCAGGCGGGCGTGGAGCGGAAGAGCCTCCCGGATGCCACGCATTCCTCGCTGCGGAGGAGGATGCCCCGCGCGGGGCGACCCCGGGAGCCTGGCTGCGATGCCGGCCGCCCGCAGCCTTATATGGGCAGCCCGGCCCGGGAGTCCGCCAGGCTGGACCCGCTGACTGTTCCCGCCGGGGGCGCTGCGCCTCCCTGTGTGGTCGGCTCCTGCGACCCTGGACGAGTCCTTTCGACCCTGCGTGCCTCGGTCTCCCTGCGGGGAAGCGGGGTCATAACTGCGCCTACTTCGGCGCGGAGGCCTGAGTTAATTCGCGGAGGCGCTTAGCGGGTGCGGAGCGCGTGGAGCGGGCTGGAGAAAGGTTACCTTTCACTAGCGTTCTATCCCGGAGGCTGTTGCGGTCACCGACCCCGCCAGGGAGAGGTGTTGGGGGTCAACGGTGCGTTGTCGCGAAGAGACCTGGAGCCGTGATCCCCAGACCACGACCCCCACTTACCACGTGACCCTGACTTCTCTGCGCTCCACCTTCCTCTCCTGTCAGATGGTGACAGCGCCTCTCCCACCGGCTCTGGACACCGGCACGTGTCCGCGCGTGTACGCTGGAGTGTGTGGCCCGGCCTTCTGGCGCGGGGTTCTAGCGCCCAGGCTTGGCCTGTCAGAGCTGCAGGGGAGGTGGGGTGGGTATGGGTGTTTAGGGCTGAGTTGGAGTCACTCTTTGGGGTGGTTTGGCGGCTTAATTCCCTTCGCTTGTGATGGGTACGTGAGGATGGCCCGAGAAGCCTCCATCAGCTGTTTCCATCCTGCCCGCAAACGAACTCAGTTCCTCTCTCACCCCATTCTGCTGTACTGGGCCAAGCTGTTTGTCTCTGGGACTTGTCCTAGAAAGGGCAGAGCCCCCAGAGCCAAGCAGAACACTGCCATGCCCCTGCAGACATTCAGTAATGACCAGACAAGCCATCCTCAGGGGACAACCTCTCAGGTGATGGTTGGGTAATAAATTTGAACAACCCCAGCAGAGATTATCTTGACCCTTAGCCCCTTTCCTTGCCCACAAACTCTGCCCAGGTCAAGCATGATGTGCTCAATATCCCAGGCATGATGCTCATCAGCTGTCCGAGCAGCTTCTTTCTGTGTAGATGGAAACATTACTACCTCATGAAAACAGTGTGCCCATTCAGTGAGGCAGATCAGCCTTTGGCCCACTTTTTGACCTGAAACTCACTTCTTCCAGGAAGCTTTCCTGGAATGCTGAGGTCCCAGATAATAGTGCTTATATAACACCCAGATTTACAGACTTCAGTTCTCACCTACTCATATGTTGCTTGAGAAGTGTTTTTATGTTTTCTCTTAGCCCTGTTTTGCAAATTGAGTGGTAAGGCCTTAGGGAGGGGACCCAGTCTTCCATTTATCTCTCTCTCCTCTTTCCTAACTAGCATCATATAGTCTAAAGTCCTGCACAGTGGCATGCCATACCTATTTTAGAAATTTTCCTGCAGTCAGGACCAGCAGTTGAGCCTCACAGCTTATAGAATCCAAGTCACCATCAACTGTAAAATGAACCACTATTTTATGTACCACTGAGAAAAAAAAAAAAACTTCCAATTAAACTAGAACATGCCACCAATAGTCATCTCTGCCCTGATTTAGACAATGTTAAAATGCACGTCTCAGACTCAAGGAACTACAGTGGCTGTTCCTCCGTCTCTGAGAAATGGCTGGGTGAGCCAAGAGCCTGCTGGGTTTTGGGGCCTCTGCTGTCTGGTTTCAGGTGGGACAGCCCACCTGGGTGGCAGAGGGAGCAGCTTCCTCACATGCGCACTGGCTTGATAGACCAAGGGTACCCAGGCACAGGCACCTTTCGCAGATGGAGCAACTGACCTTGAGGCCTTCAAGGAAAAGGTTGGCTCAGACACCTAAACCCCCAGCGGCGTTTGGGCAAAGGGGTGGGCCCATCTGCGGCAGGAGAGTTGGGCGCTTCCCCTCTCTGAGATGTATAATGCCTGGAGGGTAGGGAATTGGGAAGGGGAGGAGATGGGGAAGGAAGCAAAAGCCAACTCCACCAGCCCCAGAGTAAGCCACAGCAGGAAATGTAGCTCAGCGTGGTGTGGGTGAGGGAGTCAGGAACCCCAACAGGTTATCAGAGGAAACAAAGAGGGGAAGTAGGGGAGACATGCACTGAACGTTTGAGCCACCCTATCCCCACCCCCTGTTGCCCTACCAAATCCATATGTTGAAGCCCTGACCCCCAGTGGAATGGTTTTTAGAGATGGAACCTTTAGGAGCTCGTTAGGGTCAGATGACGTCATGCCAGTGGGGCCCTCTCAATAAGAATGATAGGATTAGTGTCCTTAGAAGAAGAGACAGGCCAGGCGCGGTGGCTCATGCCTGTAATCCCAGCACTTTGGGAAGCCAAGGTGGGTGAATCACTTGAGATCAGGAGTTTGAGACCACCCTGGCCAACATGGCAAAACCCCATCTCTACTAAAAATACAAAAAAATTCACTGGATGTGGTGGTGTGTGCCTGTAATCCCAGCTACTCGGGAGACTGAGGCAGGAGAATCACTTGAACCCGGGAGGCAGAGGTTGCAGTGAGCAGAGATGGAGCCACTGTACTCCAGCCTGGGCAATAGAGCACGACTCTGTCTCAAAGAAGGAAAAACAAAAAAAAAAAAAAAGAAGAGACACAGAGGGAAGGGCCTGAGCATCTGCCGGCCAGGAAGACGGCCCTCAGCAAGAGCCACATCAGCTGGCACCTTGATCTCAGAATTTCTAGCTTCTAGAACTGAGAAATAAATTTCTATTGTTTAAGCCACTGGCCTGTGGTATTTTATTGCGGAAGCCTGTATTATTAGTCTATTTGTGTTACTATAAAGGAATACCTGAGACTGGGTATTTATAAAGAAAATAGATGTCATTGGCTCACGCTTCCACAGGCTGTACAGGAAGCATGGTGCTGGCGTCTGCTTCTGGGGAGGCCTCAGGAGGCTTACAGTCATGGTGGAAGGCAACCAGGAACCAGCATGTCACGTGGTGAGATTAGAGCAGGAGAGCTGGGGGGAGGTGCCGCACTCTTTCAAACACTCAGATCTCCCGTGAACTAACTGAGCAAGAACTCACTTATCATCAAGAAGATGGTACTAAACCATTCATGAGAGGTCCACCCTCATGATGCAATCCTCCCACCAGGCCCCACCTCCAGCACTGGGGATTACATTTCAACAGGAGATTTGGAGTGGACAGACATCTAACCCCTATCAGAGCCCGAGCCGAGTAAGACAGGAGAGGTTTAAAGGAAATACAAATCTGTATTTGGTGCCTGATTGTATGATATGAGCTGCACAAAGGAAAGTGGGAAGTCAGACAGGACCCTGGCATTTTGAGAATGGGACAGCAGCGATACCATCCCAGAGTGAGGAGGAGGCGAGTTTAATTGGAGACAGAGACCGGGTGGGCAGGTCGTCCAGTGGGAAATGCCTACAGATGAGGGGCCAGAAATGAGTATGGCAGCGATCAAAGGGGAGTGGAGACAGACAGGGGTAGAAGGCAGGGGCAGGAGGAAAAGACGATCAAGAAGTACCCCGAGAAAGCAGAGGGGCCAAGGGCGTGACCTGGACAGCTCTGGATCTCACATGAACTGAGTGAAAACTCATCGTCTAGAGGATGGCGCTAAACCATTCCTGAGGGCTCCTCCCTCTCAGAAAAGGAGGCATTTTTTAACAGACCGGAAGGAGGTAAGAGAAACAGCCATCAGGCATCTGGGGCTACAGCCTCCCACATGCAAAAGCCCTGAGAGGTGACTGGTTTAAAAACCTCAGGAAGGTATCCAAGAATCAGGACTCAGAAAAGAAACTTGGTTTGGTGAGAAGGTAACGGGGACCTTTGAGGGGGCAGCTTCACTAGAGGGCTGGGCAAAAAAGCCAGCTTGCAAAGAAATAAGGAAGAAATGGCGCTGTGAGTGTAGTCTGCTGGCTCTGGAAGCCAGGCTGGGAGAAACACAAGATGAACAGAATGGGGGGCAGACGGGATAGCAGAGACCCTCGAGGACTGGCCAGACCTGCACATGGTGGAAGGCAAATAGCAAAGAGCAGAGCAGGAGAGCTCACTCCCCAGCACAGAGAGGCACCTGTCTCTAGAGGGGAGAAAGGAAGTCCCCTGAAAAGGAGGTGGCAGGATCTTCAGAGGGAGGGAGAGGAGGTTGGGAGGACAGGTATGGAGGCAGAAGGGAGCAGGCAGTGGGACAGGGCTGTGGGCAAGCTGGAGGAGGAGGCGCCATCCTCCCAAGAACTGGCCCTTGGTGAGCTCCCCATGAGGACACGAGGGTGGGAATGGGAGTTAGCGAGAGTGGGAAAGGCCCAGGACGCTGGCCACGGTGCACACAATCTAGAAGTCATAGTCAAGATCCTCTGGGCCTAAACCCAGGGTGGACTGAAGTACTGGAGGTAGCCTTGGCTGACCGGCTCTCTGGTTCCTCTGCAAAACGAGGAGAAAGCCTCAAGCCTGCCAGTTCTAACTGAAAATCATATCCAGGCTCGGAGCACGGTTCACTGGCTCACTGTTTCAGGTTTGGTTCCCTGTGGCAGGGACTCTGAGCAGGGGATGTGCCTGCGGGGTCTGTGCTGGGGAGAAAGATGGACGGGGAGGGGGAGGATGAGGAGTCGAGTTGCCTGAGTGCATCCGGCGGTCCTGGCTTCTGAAGAGGGGCGACCTGGGCAGGGCACCCCAGCCGGGAGCAACACTCGCAGCACTGGGGGAATAGATGCTCCCTCCAGGACCTACAGTTTGAGGTCAGGGCAGACACCCACTGTCCCCACCTGGTCTGGCATCTTTAGCTTGGATCTAGTCACCCTTCTTCTCCCCAACCTCGCTGGCAGCCAGAGTGGCCCTGCTGACACCGTCAATCTGCACAGCTCACTCTGTGGAGGCTGAAGTCCAGGCGCTCTGTGGTCTGGCCGGTCTCCCGTCCCATATGTGGCTGCTCTCTGCCTTGTCCAGCCAGGCTCGCCGTGGTCCTCATGCTGGTGCACCAGGTGAGCCCCCACACAGGGCTTCTGCATGTGGAAGGCAGCTGCCCCAGAGGCCCGACGCTACTTCTCTTACCTCCTTCACAACCATCAAAAAACAGCTTCTTAGTGAGGCCTTCCCGAGCCTCTCTATCTAAACTTCCTCCCCCCATCCACTCCGTTATGAGCTGAATTTTGCCCCCCAAATCCATGTGTTGAACTCCTAACCCCCAGTACCTCAGAATGGGACTGCATTTAGAGGTGTGATCTTTAAATAGATGGTTAAGTCAAAAGGAGGTCTTTGGGGTAGGCTCTAATCTATCAGGACTGGAAATTTTTGCCAGGTGCGGTGGTTCACGCCTGTAATCCAGCACTTTGAAAGGCCAAGGCAGGAGGATCACTTGAGGCCAGGAGTTTGAGACCAGCTTGGACAACATGGTGAGGCTCCGTCTCTACAAAAAATTAAAAGAAAGATAGGCAGGCATGGTGGCATGCATCTGTAGCCCCAGCTACTCAGGAGGCTGAGGTAGGCGGATCATGTGAGCCCAGGAGTTTGACATTACAGTGAGCTATGGTCACACCACTGGACTCCAGCCTGGGTGACAGAGCGAGACCCTGTCTCTTAAAACAAAAAACAAAGGCCGGGCGCAGTGGTTCACGCCTGTAATCCTAGCACTTTGGGAGGCCGAGGAGGGTGGATCGCTTGAGCCTGCGAGCTCAAGACTAACCTGGGCAACATAGTGAAACTCCATCTCTACACAAAATACAAAAAAAGTAGCTGGGGCAGTGGTGCACACCTGTAGTCCCAGCTACTTGGGAGGCTGAGGTAGGAGGACCACTTGAGCCCAGGAGTATGAGGTTGCTCTGAGCTGAGATCATGCCACTGCACTCCGCCCTGGCTGACAGAGCAAGACCCTGTCTCAAAACAAAACAAACAAACAAACAAAAATCTAAAAATAAAACATAAAAAGATGAAATTTGGACGCAGACATGTGCCCACAGAGGGAAGCCCATGTGAGGACAGAGGGAGAAGAAAGCCATATTGCACAAGCCAAGGAGAGAGGCCTCAGAAGAAAGCAACCCTGCCAGCACCTTGATCTTGGACTTCCAGCTTCCAGAACTGAGAAAATAAATGTCTGCTCTTTCAGCCACCCAGTTGTTGGTACTTTGTTCTGGCAGCCTGAGCAGACAAATTCACCCCCAACTTTTCATGTCTTTCCCTGTTTGATTTCTCTCCTTAGTGCTTATTAGTCTCTATTATAATAAATCTTTGACTGGTTTACCCTGTTGTCATCCAGGTCTCCCCCTGTCAGGTAAGCTCCTGTGCAGGGTTTCTTCTGTTTTGCTTTGTTTAGTCCTATTTGTTCGTGGTGTATCCCTGGTGCCTAGAACAGTGCCTGGCACCTGCTAGGCAGCCAGGAGTCCTTGTGCAATGAGTAAGTGGATCTCCTTCCTACCATCTGATCTCTGTGGGAGTGGAGGATTCACAACCTTCTGGGGCTGTCCATTGCAGAGATTCTTATGCTGCTTGCTGGATTGATTGAATAAATATTTACTAGGCACCTACTATACGGCAAGCATTGTTCCAGGTGCTGGGGGATACAGGAACAAAGAAAACAGACAAAAATCCCTGGTACGGAGAAGAAATCAAACAAAGAAATCAAACAAAGTACATCATGTGCTCATGGCAGTAGTGCCATGGAAGACAAATGAGTGGGGAAAAGGGGGTGCAGAACTCTAAATGGGGGACAGCTGAGGCCTTGCAGGGAAGTGGCATTTGAGTGAAAAATGAAACAAGTGAGGGGCGAGCCGTGTGGGCATCTGAGGGCAGGGCATGTCAGGGAAAAACTGGGAGGAGGAAGAGGAACCCCGGGGAGCAGGGGGAGGTGGTTGAAGAGGAGGCCAGAGGAGGAAAGGGGCCCAGGCTGTTGGCCACTATAATAACTTGGGCCTTTATGCTGAGTGACAGGGCAGAGAAAGAGACATGCTCAGATTTATGTTTTCACCAAGCATTCTAGCTGCTGAGTTGAAACTTGAGTGGAAGGGTGGAGGCAGGGAGACCAGGTGAGACCAGGAAGGAGGCTGCTGCCGTTGCCCAGGGTGGGAGAACAAGGCTGATGGTGGCGGGGTGGTGAGAAACGGTTGGATTCTGGCTAGATTTTTGAAGGGTGAGTCAGCAGGAGTTGCTTTTACAGCAGATGTGGGATGTAAGGGAAAGACAGGGGTTTGGAAGATGGAGATTTTGGTCAGGGCAACTGGAAGGATGGCGTTGCATCAGCAGAGACGAGTTTGCATGGGGAGGAGCAGGTGGCTGGGGGTGGAGCGGGCAATTTGGGGCAGGCTGGTTTTGAGACGCAGATTACACATTCAGTCGCAGGTGTTGAGTGGACAGTAGAGTATGCAAGCCTGAGGTCCAAGGGCGAGATCTGGACAGAGATGAAAATATGGAGGTCATCGGTGTCAAAAATAAAATCAGATAAAATATTACAATTTTAGAAGTGTACTGTGCATACTAAACAATAATTTGCAAACTGGGTTGCAAATTGTTTGCAAACCAAACATGGTAGGAAGCCCCATTCACAACAGTTCATTGAATCATGCTGACAAGGTTGTAAAGCTTATGTTTTGTGTTTCTATGGTTAGAGCTAGCGTTTGGGGAAATCGGGATGACTTCAGTTTTAGTTATACGGTTATGGGTGATTGGCCTGGGGGTCCATCTGGACCATAGCCCCCATTTCTCTTCAACATCAGCACACAGACAGCATTTAAAGCCTTGAGCCTAAGTGAGTTTACCAAGGGCCAAATGCTGATCAGAAAGGGAAGAGGCCCGGGCCCGTGCCCTGGCGCGCTCTGACAAGTGGGAGAGGAAGAGGAACCGGCACCGGCCACTGAGTAGGAGACCGGTGAAGGAGGACGATGACCAGCAGGATCCCAGTGTCCTGGATCCAATGGAAGGAAACATTTCAGGGAGCAGCCAGTGGTCAGTGATGGCCAAGGCTGTGAGGGGTCCAGGAGGACGAGGTCTGGGAATTGTCCTTGGGATTTGGCAACGTGGAGGTCGTTGCTGACCCTATAAGAGCAGTCTCGAAGGAAGGCTGGGGGGCACCAGTGCTTTTTCACAGCCCATTTCTTCCTGCTTGACCCTCTGTATATGTGAGGATCTAGTTATCAACTTGAGATCGCGAAAAGTACACAGCCTGCCTGTGCACAGTAGCTCACACCTGTAATCCCAGCACTTTGGGAGGCCGAGGCAGGGCAGATCGCCTGAGGGCAGAAGTTCGAGGCCAGCCTGGCCAGCATGGTGAAACATCATCTCTACTAAAAATACAAAAATTAGCTGGGCATGGTGGTGGGCGCCTGTAATCCCAGCTACTTGGGAGGCTGAGGCAGGAGAATTGCTTGAACCCAGGAGGCAGAGGTTGTGGTGATCCAAGATTGTGCCACTGTACTCCAGCCTGGGCGACAGCGTGAGACTCTATCTCGAAATAAAAATAAAAAGAAAAAAAGAAAAAAAAAAGAAAAAAGAAGAAAAGCACGCAGCCAACTTGGAGACAGTGATTCTGACTGGCTCCTCCGTGGCTTCTCCCGGTGACCCCTGTAAAGGCCCCTCAGACTCCCAGCATCCACTGCTCTCATTACACTTGCTCTTCTTGGACTATCCTGAGTTCCCCCACTTCTGAAATGTGAAGTCACCAAAGAGTTCCCTAAGGTCTAACTCATGCAGAACATAATGAAGGCGATAATTCATGTGATGTTCTGAGTTGATTTCAATTTTATGTAACTTTGCACTTTCCTTAAAGCAGATTCATTAAATGTACAACTAATTATGATTAAGTTTTTATACCTTAATAAGAGTTTTCATCTAAATACATTCATAAACTAGAAAACATCCTTTTGTCAGACCACATGTTCCTTTTGGAGGTTCAGAAAAGTATGATCTCTGGCTAGGAGCAGTGGCTCACGCCTGTAATCCCAGCACTTTGGGAGGCCAAGGGGAAGGGGGGTAGATCACCTGAGGTCAGGAGTTCAAGACCAGCCTGGCCAACAGGTGAAACCTCGTTTCTACTAAAAATACAAAAATTAGCCAGGCGTGGTGGCACACACCTCTAATCCCAGCTACTCAAGAGGCTGAGGCATGAGAATCACTTGAACCCAGGAGGCAGAGGTTGCAGTGAGCCAAGATCCTGCCACTGTACTACAGCTTGGGCGACAGAGTGAAACTCTGTCTCAAACAAACAAACAAACAAACAAACAAACAAACAAACAAAAAACCAGAAAAATATGATCTCCATAATTATGCCAGCAAAGTAAATTGATGCATCAGCAAAGAACGGATTGATTCAGCCTCTCTGTCTTTCTGGCGCTCCAAGATTTTAGCTCTAATTTTTGAATAAAACTTTGCAGTTTTTCAAAGTACTTTTTAATATAAATATTATATTAGATATTAAAAACCCATGAATATTTAAGGCAAAACATCCCAATATTCTTAACTTATTAATTCATTTATTCAACCAAACTTCAACCTCCAATGAATTTCTTTAGTAGCCTCCTTGAACTCTGAATCCTTAAAGTTACTGGAGAAATTGCATAGCTTTGCAGGCTGGTGTCATTTTTCAAAGCAGTAATTATTTAATGTTATCAGTTAGAGTTCATGTTTCTAATTATTTCATAAATGTCATAAATTTGTGTGAATCAGAACTGAAATAATGCTTACACAAAATAACTGATATGTCCTTTTTAATATCTAGTTCCCCTCTACTTCTTTTTTTTAATCTCCTTGCAATTTATTTGTTGAAAAAAACGAAGCTGTGTGTCCAGCCATCCTCCCCAGCCCGGATTTTGCTGAGCATGTCGCTGTGATGTTGTTTAGCCAGTTCCTTTGCCCTGTGTTTCATCTGTAGCTCGGTGGCTGGATCTAGAAGCTTCATTAGATTCCGTTTCATGGGTGGTGGTGTGTTCCTCCACCAGGAAGCCTGTGTCTGATTTTCTCTTTGTGATATAGCAGCCATTAATCATCAATGCCTTAATCCTTGTGAAATGGTTATGTTCCAATTCTGTCATTCCTTCTTCATTCAGTAGCTAAAATTCTTCTATAAATGGAAAAATTCTCTTCTGCTACTTGTTTACCCAATGGTGACACAAACAAAAATAAAGCAGGTAGAATAGGACTCTTTTCCTCTGTTTCCTGGTGTTCAGAATAATGAGTTGTTTTCCTGTCTTTCTGAACTCAGAGTTTAAACATATTTGATGTGTTTCAGTCCATCGCCATTACTATTCTGACTGATGCTCACATGTTCCCTCTTTGGCCAGTGAGAGCCTCTTTGAGGTGGCTCCTGGGTCCTTCTGACATGACCCAATGGCCTTTGATGGTTTCCTTGCCTTCTGGTATAGCAGTATCAACCTCATCTTGTGCATTTTTTTTTCTCTAGACATGAAATCGACCATTTTTACAAGAAGTCTTGATTCTTTTTGGTGGAAAAAGGAATTTCAAGACCACAGTTGGTGTTATGACATCTACTCATTTTACCCCCAGGATCTCAAAATGTAACTGCCTTTTAATCTCAGAAGTTTTACAGTTAAGCTCGTTTCCTTTAGAATGATGATGTGAACCTTTTCCTCTTTCCTCACATTTCCTATTTCCCTCTACCTCCTTCATCTCAGCAATCTGTCTTGCCTCATACTTTCCTGAGAAATAGAGTCAACCGAAAAGAACTGCCTCACGATATTTTCCAGGGTGCCAACATTTTCCCATCATCTTCTTCCAAAGTCCCTGTTTCCTTCACCCCAGCCATTTGCTCTCTCTCCCTCCCTGAGGATTGTGTCCCTTCTTTCATCCCAGTGCCCACAGCACTCATCTCTCCCTCTCTCCTGGGTGGCTCATTCCCAGCAGGGTACAAATGTGCTCTAGTGGCTCCCACCAAAAAAGGAAGCCCTCCCCTCACCCCACAGCCCCCTACACTCTTCCCACTATACCTTTCTCATCGACCATGCAGTGCTTTGGCTGTGTGCAGTGGCTCATGTCTGTAATCTCAGCATTTTGGGAGGCCAAGGCAGGAGGATCACTTGAGGCGAGGAGTTCGAGACCAACCTGGGTAACATGGCAAGACCCCATATCTACAAAAAATTTAAAAATTAGCCAGGTGTGATGGTATATGCCTGTAGTCCTGGCTACTCAGGAGGCTGAGACAGGAGGATTGCTTGAGCCCAGGAGTTTGAGGCTGCAGTGAGCTAAAATCGTGCTATTGCAGTCCAGCTTGGGTGACAGAGCGAAACTCGATCTCTAAAAATAAATAAATAATCAAACACAATAATAAAACAAGGATTGTTTGTCAATGTCAAATGAAGCCAATCTGCAGGACTGTGGAATTTTCTCCCAACACTGTTTGGGGTGTTGGAATTGTTAAAAAAAAAAAATTTATGGAAGACATTGTTTCAGCCTGAGCTCTGGCACTAGGTCCCAACAAACCAGACAAAACCAAAGTGAAGTCACTAATGCTAAATGCCACAAAGTCAAATGAAGCTTTAAGGAGGCAGATAGATCCCAAACCAGACCAGTTTTTCCTGAAAACAGGAGATTCCAGTCTATCTGAGTCCATGTAACGAGGAGCTGCTCTCTGCTTTAACCCTTACAAAAAAAAAGTAACGAAAAAAGTTAACCAGTTTTTTTTCCTATTCTGTTTCCTTGTTGCCATTTTATAAAACCCAGTTTTCTGCTATTGCCCAGTGAAAGCTTTTATTTTATTTTATTTTTTGAGACAGAGTTTCACTCTTGTCGCCCAGGCTGGAGTGCAGTGGTGCCATCTCGGCTCACTGCAATCTCCACCTCCTGGGTTCAAGTGATTCTCCTGCCTCAGCCTCCTGAGTAGCTGGGATTACAGGCACCCACCACCATGCCCAGCTAATTTTTGTATTTTTAGTAGAGACGGGGTTTCACCATGTTGGCCAGGCTGGTCTCGCACTCCTGAGCTCAGGTGATCTGCCGGCCCCAGCCTCCCAAAGTGCTGGCATTACAGGCGTGAGCCACCGCACCCGGCCTTGTTTTATTTTGTATAAGGGTGGTTTCCCTGATTCATGACTCCTGAATAAGAGCCAATTAGATCTACATCTAAATTGGTTGTTATTCTGTCTTTTGACAGTTCTGGCGACTGCAAAGGGACCCAAAAGAGACTACTGACAACTCCCAAGATCCCTTAAGAAATGCAGAAGAGGCCCTGCTGGCCCTGTTTGAGGTCTCCTGTCCTTATGCAGTCCAGAGGGATGTCAGTTCTTCTCAAATTAGACCTGCTCTTTTTGCAATGAAGCCCCTGATCTTTTTGGCTTTTGAATTAAGGATTAGTTTGTGACCTTGGAAAGGATCCCCAGGGTAGTTTGCGCTGTGAGAGGGCACTTGTCCTCCAGGTTGCTGTGGCTGATGACTCACTGGCAAGAGCTGCAGTCTTAAAGGCAACTAGCGGTGTTTGCAGTGAGTGGTTATTCTTACAGGGGCCAAGAAATCTGACTTTCAGAATCTACAGGTATTTGTGTTTCTATCCTCTTCATTTCTTTTTCTTGCATGCTTAGGTTGCGGGAAATCACTGGCTAAGTTGATCAAGGGTATCTCAGAGCCAAAGCCATAATTTGGTTGGTGGGCATGGTTCAGGCACTTAACCACTATTGGAGCACTTACCAACAATACTCCTGCCAGGCGCAGTGGCTCATGCCTGTAATCCCAGCACTTTGGGAGGCTGAGGCGGCGGATCACCTGAGGTCAGGAGTTCGAAATCAGCCTGGCCAACATAGCGAAACTCCATCTCTACTAAAAATACAAAAATAAGCTGGTGTGGTGGCGCACGTCTGTAATCCCATCTACTCAGGAGGCTGAGGCAGGAGAATAGCTTGAACCCGGGAGGTGGAGGTTACAGTGAGCCGAGATGGTGCCACTGCACTCCAGCCTGGGAGACACAGCAAGACTCCGTCTCAGAAAAAAAAAAGAAAAAGAATAAGACTTCTGTGAAAGGCTTAGCTGGTCATGGAATGGGCTAGTTGATATTAGGTCACCCACCAGCTGCAAGAAAATGTTCATGCAATGAAGTACACTGTGGAAGGATTGTATGAGCCAGAAACGGGATCCTTAATTTCTGGCCATGCCTGCCTTTCCATGTATAATAATATGGCCCCAAATACCTAACGTAGATGACGCGTTGATGGGTGCAGGAAACCACCATGGCAGGTGTATACCTATGTAACAAACCTGCATATTCTGCACGTGTACCCCAGAACTTAAAGTATAATAATTAAAAAAAAAGAGGCTTTAAGAGAGTGCATCATTCACTCTCTTTTGCCCTTCTGCCATGTCAGGAAATAGCGTTCCTCGTCCCCCCCCACCCAAAAAAAAGAATATGTCCCTAGAAGCTGCAAATATTTACAAAATCGCAAAAGATATTTTAGAGTCACGGTGTCATCACATTTTAGAATTACAGTATAAAAGATCTTACGAAAAATGTTTTAGAATTACAGTGGCCAGGGAGGGAGAGCTTCAGCATAAATAGCTAGTGCACGCGGGGCTTAAAACCTAGATGATGGGTTGATGGGTGCAGCAAACCACCATGGCACACATCGACTTATGTAACAAACCTGCACATTCTGCACATGTATCCTGGAACTTGAAGTAAAATAAAATACAATTAGAAAAAAAAAGGAATTGCAGTGGCCATCTGTGGAACGTTCTAGATGAACAAGACCATTTATCTAAGAAGTGCACTTGAAGCCCAAGCCTCCCAAATTCTGCAAAGAGAATGGGATTTTTATTTTAATTGGCGTTTAGAAGCCTCAAAGAGACAACAGGACTCGTGAGCCTAGGCAGTCTAAGGCCAGGAAAAACAGGGGCTGTCCATCAGAGCGCGCCAACAGCCACCAGTCAGGAGGAAAGCAAGTCCGTCCCTTTCGAGTTCCCTGGTGTCAGTCATCAGTGAAGCAGCTGGGGCGCTTTGCCAACATCACCCCCCCACAATCCCCACCCCACACACCCCTGGAGGTGTTAGGAAGACCCATGGGGCACAGGTGAGGACTGAGCTCCCTCTGCTCAGCTCCCTGGGAAAGCCAGTCTGGGTGCCGCTGGGTGGGACAGGTGCTGGACAGCTGTGAATAGGAAGGGTAGGTTTGGAAGTTCATTATAAGTTATTAGTTTTTGTAAAAAAAAAAAAAAGGCATATGAGGCACTATCTGTCCATATCTACACACACGCAAGACTTGACTTACAGCCTTACGACTGGATATAGAGACTGATCTCTCAGAGGATTGTACCCGAGTCAGCCCAGGAACAGGGGCTTTCCAGACACAAATTATCTTCTCTACTCCTGCTCAGAGTGTGCCTGGCAGCCACAGGCTACCGTTCACACTCTGCAAACTCTAGGCCCTGGGGTTGGAGAGTGTGGGGCCTCCCTCTGTCCAGGTCCCTGGGTCCCTGCATGTTCCTTCCTCCTGGTCTGTTGCTGAAAGTCAACAAGCCTGTTGGTTGGGTTGCTATAGAGACTGCAGGTGCCTGTGGGCTCTGGGGACCGGGGAGCTTTATTCACCTCCGTGGCCGAGACCAAGCTCCCCACACAGGTGTGCCAGCCTGTCGGCCAGGCCCCAGGCCCCAACCCAGCATCACAGCTGGAAAAACAACCCAAAGCACACCTGTCCCAGGTATGTGGGAAAGAAGGGGGCTTTCACATGCCAAGAACAGCAAGGTGTGCTTGTCCTTAATAGAAACATTGTTCAAATCAGTTCCACATTGGAGGGGAACCTACTAGGGACAGGATGAGTTTTCAGGCTGGGGTCTGGCTGTTCCATTGTTGTCAACTGAGGAAGCTCACCAGGACCTCTGACAATGCAGGTCTGTCCCTGAACCCCCAGGCCCAGCATGGGAGCTGGGCCAACAGACGGGCAGGGAAGAAGGGAGGGCACCGCTGCCGAGCGCCTCCTCCCCAGCGTTCCCTCGCAGAAGGAGGAACAGGACTCCCAATGTGCCCTCGATTCGGGGGCTGGCAGGCCTCCTTCCTGTCTGTCCTTAACCTTCTCCAGAAATACCCCTTTTCTGATTGGCCTGCAAGATTCACATGGGGAGAAAATGCCATGACTATTTTATAAAAAGGCCTGCACACTGCACATTGTCACTTCAGAGACCGAAGTAAAAAGTTACAGGGCGGAAAGGTTTGATGGAACATCCAGAAGACCTTTCTGGCAATTCTAGGTGTGCCATGGAGAAAGGGAGTGCCTTGGGTGGGAGCAAGCTCGCCTGCCCTGGAGGGAGGAGACAGGCTGAGCCGTGACTGTGGCTGGAGCGGCTGAGAAAGGAGTCCTTTTACGATGTTTATGTATGTTTAAAAATGTTCAAAATAGAAATTAAAAAAAATTATTCCTACATTTTGCTTCATCATATAGTTTTGAAAAGTAAAGCAAAATTGCAAATTACTATATGGTAATTTCCTTTTAAGAAAAATCAATTTAGTTAAGTCTAAATATATAGCCTATAACATATTATAGCGCTTCATACTATCAGGAACAAAGTGTACTTTGGAATTAGGTGTACTTTAGAATGCTTTGGCTGGAAGTAACAGAAAACTCAACTATTGAAGTCTTAAATAGGCGGGTGTGGTAGCTCACGCCTGTAATCCCAGCACTTTGGGAGGCCGAGGTGGGCGGATCACCTGATGTCAGGAGCTCGAGACCAGCCTGGCCAACACGGTGAAACCCCATCTCTACTAAAAATACAAAAATTAGCTGGGTGTGGTGGCAGGCACCTGTAATCCCAGCTACTCAGGAGCCTGAGGCAGGAGAATCGCTTGAACCCTGGAAGGCAGAGGTTGCAGTGAGCCAAGATCCTGCCACTGTATTCTAGCCTGGGCAACAAGATGAGACTCTGTCTCAAAAAAAAGAAACAAACAAAAAACAAACAAAAAAAACCCACCTGCCTCCGCTCACCAAAAAAGTCTTAAATAAACAAGAAGTCTCCAGGTAGGCCACCCAGAGCTGGGGTAGCACCTCCTCAGTGTCATCAAAGACCCAAGCAAGCTGGTTCTTTCTCTTCATGATACCTAGCATGTTGGCTTGTTGCCTCACGATCACAAAATAGTTGCTCCAGCTCCAGACATTACAGCAATATTCAAGGTAGAAAGAAGAGAGGAATTCACACCAACTGTATCTGTCCCTTTTATAAGAAAAAGGCAAAAGCTTCTCTCTCTGCAAGTCCACAACAAATGTCTACTTAAGACTCTTCGGCCAGAATGGTGTCATGTGGCCTCCATTAGACACAAAGGAAACTTTTGCAGCCTTTTCAGTTGAGATGGACAAGAGAGAAAGCAGTTAGGAATGAATGAGTTTGGGTCAGATGGCCAACAATGTCCTCCATGTCTAGTGCAGCCAATATCTGATAATCAGTCTTGTTCTTTTAGTGTAAGGCTTAGCACTGCCTTAGAAACTTCGTTATAAATTCTTTCTCCAAATTTATGATAATACTATGATTCCTATTAAAATGTATTCCTATGAAAATATACCTCCTATTTTCATTTTTTTCCACGTATTTCCTCTCCAGGGCAATCATGGTAAAGTAAATAGGACAGGAGTTATTTCTGATTTGTGTAGAATGCTGAAGTCCTGATAGGATTGCTGTGAGGCACTGAGTCTCCAAACTGCTCGCCTAGTGGATTGTTGTTGTTTTATTTTATTTTTTATTTTTTGAGATGGAATCTCACTCTGTCACCCAGGCTGGAGTGCAATGGCGCAATCTTGGCTGACTGCAACCTCTGCCTTCCGGGTTCAAGCCATTCTCCTGCCTCAGCCTCCCAAGTAGTTGAGACTACAGGTGTGCGCCACCATACCAGGCTAATTTTTGTATTCTTAGTAGAGATGGGGTTTCGCCATGTTGGCCAGGCTGGTCTTGAACTCCTGACCTCAAGTGATCCTCCCGCCTTGGCCTCCCAAAGTACTGAGATTACAGGCATGAGCCACTGCGCCCGGCCTCATTTTATTTTTGAGACAGGGTCTCATTCTGTCGCCCAGGCTGGAGCACAGTGGTGTGAACAGGGCTCACCGCAGCCTCAACCTCCTGTTCTCAAACAATCCTCCCACCTCAGCCTCCCAGGTAGCTGGGACCACAAGTGCCTAACTTTTTATCTTTTGTAGAGATGAGGTCTCACTTTTTTGCCCAGGCTGGTCTCCAACTCCTGGACTCAAGTGATCCTCCTACCTCAGGCTCTGAAAGTGCTGGGATTACAGGTGTGAGCCACTGCACCCAGCCTCACCCATTGTTTTTTCTGTTGGCCACACTGCCTCTCTGGTTTCATATTTTATCTCTTTGAGACAACTTGTTTGTCTACTGCATTGCTGTCTAATTCAGCAGAGTTAAGAGGGTGTCCTCATTTGCTGACTAATGCACAGATCGCTGTTCCTCTCACCATAGCTCTAGAAACAGCAACTTAACCACTGTACCCGTGGATAGATTTCTACAGCAAATGTGGAAAAAAAGGGAGAGTGAAATAAAAAGCCAATAGCAATGAAAAAATATTACAGCACTTTTGCAGATCAAGCTATGTGACTATTTTAACCACAAAACCGAACACGAATCCTTGTAAGACATAATAAAAATGAGAGCAAAAAAAAGGATCTGCCGCGGTTTCGTGTGCACGATAAAGAGGAAAATAGAGCTCTGTCCGAGGTCAGCCACCTCCCTTCCGTCTTTGGAGTCCTCACTTCTGTAGCACCTTAAAAAGGTATTCTGCTCAATCTTCAACCAGAGCATGGCTTTTGTCCTATAAAAGTGCCCCCACGGTGTGTGTTTTTAAGTAAATTGATATATTCGGACTCAGTGGGCCGAGCACGATGGCTCACGCCTGTAATCTCAGCACTTTGGGAGGCTGAGGTGAGTGGATCATCTGAGGTCAGGAATTTGAGACCCAGCCTGGCCAACATGATGAAACCCCACCTCTATTAAAAATACAAAAATTAGCCAGGCATGGTGGCAGTTGCCTGTAGTCCCAGCTACTCGGGAGGCTGAGGCAGGAGAATGGCTTGAGCCTGGGAGGCAGAGGTTGCAGTGAGCCAAGATGGCGCCATTGCACTCCAGCCTGGGCTACAGAGTGAGACTCTGTCTCAAAAAAAAAAAAAAAAAAAAAAAAAGAAAAAAAAAAAGAAAAAGAAAAGAAAAAAAAGACCTGGTGGCATGTGAGCAGGAAGACTCCAGGCCTGGCCCCATTTCAGGAGCTGCAGCTGTTTTTAAGGCCAACTTGCTTCCTGCCTGAGCGATACCCAGTGGCCCACTGCTGGCCTGCGTGGATTTATTTAGACAGTAATGTTGACCAGACAGCCAGAATTTTCCCACTCTCTTTACTTCCGGAAGGGTTTGCTCATAATTAGTTAAATCAGCTTTCTCTGCCTCTCAGTGCCAAGATGTTTATAGAAATCTCACTACTTCTGCTGTTGGCTATACTTTTCATCCTCTTTGCCACCACAACGTTCCCCATTGTTTCTAAAACCCTTCATCCAAAAACCTAAAGTTCCTCACTGAGCCAAACAGGGCAATTGGCTTTGAAAGGGAACACACCTGTTCAGCACAGACTTTCTCTCCTTTCTCCTTGAGGCTCATCTACTTGCCATCTCTCCCCTTCTTGAGCGCCAGAGGGTGAGCAAAGATCTTGGATTGGCTGTCGCTTGCCGGAGCTGTTCTGCGCCAGAAAGATCCTCCGGGCGCCCTTCACAGTGGTGGCTTGGGTTCAATACTGTCTTGCTCAGACAGCTGACCTGCTAATCAGCCCGCACCTTTGAGGACTAAGAGGAAACTGACCTCCCCTGACCTGTGAAAGTATCCATCCCTGCTTCTCCATGACACACTCCTTCAGCGCGTGTGTAGTCAGAAAAAGGAGAGGAGGAGAAGCAGTTCCAAGAAAAATAACAGGATGTGGTTGATGAAATATGAAATATGAAATGAAAGTCTGGTATGGTATGGAAACTGACTTTGTCTTTTTTTCTTTTAGACAGAGTCTCACTCTGTCACCCTGGCTGGAGTGCAGTGATGCGATCTCGGCACACTCCAACCTCCTCCTCCCAGGTTCAAGTGATTCTCCTGCCTCAGCCTGCCGTGTAGCTGGGATTACAGGCACACACCACGATGCCCGTTTGGTTTTTTTTTAAATTTTTTTATTTTTAATAGAGACGGGGCTTCACCATGTTGGCCAGACTGGTCTCAAACTCCTGGCCTCAAGTGATCCACCCACCTCGGCCTCCCAGAGTGCTGGGATTACAGGCATGAGCCACCGCACCGGGCCTGACTTTGTCTTTAAGGCAGTGGCTCCTAACCTTTATTGAGTCACCCAGATCTTTAAGAATCTGATGACAGGTACAAATCCTTTCCCCAGAAAAAATGTAAAATATGCACTTGAACAATTTGCCTAAAGTCTCACATGGTTCATTGGTACACCTTCCCCCAACCCCCCAGAATTATCTGGACCACAGGTGACAAATTCCTATTTTAAGGCCAGGTGTGATGGATCACACCTGTAATCCCAGCACTTTGGGAGGCTGAGGAGGGTGGATTGCTTAAGCCCAGCGATTTGAGACCTGCCTGAGTAACAATGGCGAAACCCCGTCTACAAAAAATACAAACATTAGCTGGGTGCGGTGCGGTGCGCCTGTAATCCCAGCTACTCAGGGTCTGAGGCGGGAGGGTCCTTGAGCCTGGGAGGTCAAGGCTTCAATGAGCCAAGATTACACCACTGCACTCCAGACTGGGTGACAAAGTGAGACCCCCATCTAAAAAAAAGAAAAAAGAAAAGAAAGAAAGAAAAGATTCCTATTTTAGAAGCTTGTACTTGTAATAGTACCCCTTAAAGGTGGTTGGAATATAAATCTTAACTACAAATAAATTCCCAATGACATTAGGAAATGCAGAGTTAATATCATGCAAAAGAAGAGGATTAGGAGCTGGGAGCTCCTCAAAGAAAAATTTTAATTCACCAGCGGTCAATTCCTCTCCTGTTGTGGCTATATACCTCCCATTTATGCTAATGACTTTGCTACCCTCTGTGTAGATGTGTGGCAAGGGAAGAATAATCTCTTCTCAGTTGCAACCAATTGATCCATCTGGAAGTGATTTAAACATCAACAAAATAATTCAATCTCACAAAAATCATTTGTTTTGTTTGCATTTGCAAATTCATGTTTTGCTTTGCTTCCTCTTCCTCTGCATTTTAGAGTGGATGAATAGTTTTCTATATGGCACATCTTCAAACACTCCTGCTTCATTACACCAATACATTTTTAGACATGTGTTTAGAGGCAGAGTGAGCACACACTCTGGCTCAAAAAAGAAAGAGAGACAAGACCAGTCAGGACAGGCAGGAATAGTTCCTGCTGCATAACACGCAACTCCAAGTCTCAATGGCCCAACATAGTAGGAGTTGATTTCTTGCTTGAGCACATTCTGCTACAGGTCTGAGCGGCCATCCAGGCCGTCTCTCCTCTGTGTGCTGGCTCTGCCTTCTAAGCTGCTGCAACTCTTCGGCCCCTTTATGCCAACGCTTAGTCCCATCATCACCATGGGAAGTGGGAGGACAGCTAGAGGGATGAACATCGCAATGACATGCTTCCACCTGGAACCATACACATCTCCCCAGCTATGTTTTTCTGGCCAAAGTGAATCACATAGTGATGTCTGGTTTTACAGAGACAGGAAAGCATGAGCCATGGAAGGGGTTCAGAAAAGCTGACAACCAAAGGATAGAAAAGCTGTAAGATCTACTACAGAGACTGCTGACACATGCTTGGGAATTAGAACAAATTTTGAGAAATGTCTGTTAAGATGTTCTCTGTGAATGGGAAAACTACCCTTGCCCTAGATTTTAAAAATAAATCAGGCTGGGCTCACGCCTGTAATCCCAGCACTTTAGGAGGCTGAGGCAGGCAGATCACTGGAGGTCAAAGTTTGAGACCAGCCTGGCTAACATGGTGAAACCCCGTCTCTACTAAAAATACAAAAATTAGCTGAACGTGGTGGTGAACTCTTATAATACCAGCTACTCAGGAGGCTGAGGTAGAAGAATTGCTTAAACTTGGAAGGCAGAGTTTGCAGTGAGCCAAGATCACACCACTGCACTCCAACCTGGGCGACAGAGCAAGACTCTGTCTCAAAAACAAAATAAATAAAATAAAAATAAATCATGAGTGTTCTACTTCCAGCCATGATGGTGTAACAGACGGCAGTTTACACCTTCTCTTATCCTTAGATAAAGAGAAAGCCAGACCCAATATATGAAAAATATATTCAGACACTAGATGTCAGGCAGTGCAAGACTTTGATCACTGGAGAAAAGAAACAAACAAGATGAGACCCATGAGGGCTCCGCATTACTGTCTGAGGCAGTTCCTAAGCCCAGGAAAGGGAGGGGAAACCAAAGAGATCTCAGTGGTCTCACTGAATGGAGGAGACTGATCAGAGTTTGGGGAGGCCAAGGTGGCTAGAGTTTGAAGGGCAAAGTGTGGGAGTGAAGGGAGCTACAGAGAGAGAGAGAGAGAGAGAGGGAGACAGAGACAGACAGAGAGACACAGTCCATTCAGACTGTTATAACAAAAATACCATAAACTATGTAGCTTATAAACAATAAACATTTATTTCTCACAGTTCTAGAGGATGGGAAGTCCAAGATCAAGGTAGCAGCAGATTCAGTGTCTAGGGAGGTTCCATTCCTTATAGATGGCAACTGTGTGCTGCATCCTCACATGGAGGAAGGAGCAGACAAGCTCCCTTGGGCCTCTTTTATAAGGGCACTAATCCCATTCATGACCTAATCACCTCCCAAAGGCCCCACCTCTTAATACTATCACCTTAGGAATTAAGATTTCAACGTATGAATTTGGGCAGGACATGGACATTCAGACCATAGTGGAGGGTTTGTGTGTGTGTGTGTGTGTGTGTGTGTGTGTGTGTTTGTGTGTGTTTGTGTTTGTGTCTGTGTCTGGTGTGTGTGTCTATGTTTCAGAGAGAGAGAGAGAGAAATTGCTTGTTTTGGAGGTCTGCTGAAGAGTCCCCTAGAGAGACTTTGCTGAACATTGTATGCACTCATGTGAGAAAACTATGTGAGGATAGTGATCATAACCACCAAAACTCCACAGGCAGGCCAAACAATTCCTGGGACTCACAGGGCTGGAAATAGATCATATAATCACCAGCCAGAGTGTGAAGATATCTTAATACAGGGCATCTGGCAGGATCCACTTGGTAGGAAGACAAAATTAGTTCTACCCAAAGAGACTGCTCTGATCCCACTCTATAAAATTTAAAAGCAAACCTTGAAAGGATCAAATTGATTTCAAATTACTGAACTACATGCCAGAAAAAAAGCTGAACACTATTTAAAAGAATACAACAAAATCCAGCACCCAGCAATGTAAAATTTTACAATGCCAACATCTAACCAAAAACTACCAGGCACGCAAAGAAACAGGAAAATATGAACATCACCAAGAGAAATATCAATCAACAGAAAAGACCCAGAAATAAAATACATGATGGTATTAACAGACAAAGACTTTAAAACAATTATTACAAATATATTCCATATATTCATGAAGGTAGGGAAAAATAGAAACATAAATGAGGAGAGAAATTAATAATATAAGAAAGATCCAAATGGAATTTACTAGAGATAAAAATATAATATCTGGAATAAAAAATACATGACATGGGATTAACAGCAGAGAGATGCTGCAGAAGAAGACATCAGTGAGCTTGAAGACATAGCAATAGCAACTGTCCAAAAATGAAGCCCATTGAGAAAACAAATTAACAGAGAATCCAGTGATCTGTGGACAAGATCAAGTGGTTTAACATGTATATCTCTGCAGTTTCAGAAATAAAGGAGGGAGAAAGGAAGAATATTTGAAGAAATAGGGCCAACATTTTTTCACATTTAATGAAAACTTTATAGCCATAGATCCAAGAACCTTAACCAAACCAAAGCAGAAGGTGCATGGAGAAAACTATATTAAGGCACATGATAATCAAATTGCCGGAAACTAGTGACAAAGAGAAAATCTTTAAAGCAGGTCAGGGAAGGCCAGGCACAGTGGCTCACGCCTGTAATCCCAGCACTTTGGGAGGCCAAAGTGGGCGTATCATGAGGTCTGGAGATTGAGACCATCTTGGCTAACGTGGTGAAACCCTGTCTCTACTGAAAATACAAAAAATTAGCCGGGTGTGGTGGTGGGCACCTGTAATCCCAGCTACTTGGGAGGCTGAGGCAGGAGAATGGCGTGAACCCAGGAGGCAGAGCTTGCAGTGAGTGGAGATTGCACTGCTGCACTCCAGCCTGGGTGACAGAGCGAGACTCCGTCTCAAAAAAAAAAAAAAAAAGCAGGTCAGGGAAAAAAAAACCCATTGCTTACAAACGAGCAAGGTAAGAGTGATGGCAGATTTGTCATCAGAAACTATGCAAGCCAGGAGACAATAGAGTGACATCCTTAAAGTACTGAAAGGAGGCCAGGTGTGGAGGCTCACGCCTGTAATCCCAGCAATTTGGGAGGCCGAGACGGGAGGATCAGGAGTTTGAGACCAGCCTGGGCAACATAGCAAGACCTCTTGTCTGCTAAAAATAATTTTAAAAAAGATTAGCCAGGTGTGGTGGCATGGGCCTGTGGTCCTAGCTACTTGGGAGGCTGAGGTGAGAGAATTACTTGAGCCCGGGAGCTTGAGGCTGCAGTGAGCCATGATCACACCACTGCACTGCAGCTTGGGTGCCAGAGCCAGACCCTGTCTCAAAAAAAGTACTGAAAAGAAAAAGAAAGCAATCAATCCAGAATTCTATCCTGCATAAAATTTCTTTCAAAATCAGCTTTTCAGACAAACAGAAACTGAGAGAATTAATTAACTAGGGAACCTACATTCCAAGAAATGTTACAGGACACTCCTCAGGTAGAAGGAAAATGGCACTAGAGGGAAATTTGGATGTACACAAGGATTCGAAATGATAAACACATCAGTAAATGTAAAAGACTTTTTTATAATTGAAAATACTCTTTAAAAGATAATTAACTGTGGCCAGGCGCAGTGGCTCATACCTGTAATCCCAGCACTTTGGGAGGCCGAGGCGGGCGGATCACAAGGTCAGGAGATGGAGACAAGATGGAGACCATCCTGGCTAACACGGTGAAACCCCGTCTCTAATAAAAAATACAAAACATTAGCCAGGTGTAGTGGCGAGCACCTGTAGTCCCAGCTACTCGGGAGGCTGAGGCAGGAGAATGGCATGAACCCGGGAGGTGGAGCTTGCAGTGAGCCGAGATTGCGCCACTGCACTCCAGCCTGGGCAACAAAGCAAGACTCCATCTCAAAAAAAAAAAAAAATTAACTGTTTAAAGCAAAAATATTAACAGTGTATTTTTGAGTTTATAGTATATGTAGAATAAAATATATGACAACAATAAGGTACAAGAGGGGAAAATGGAAGTAACATATTGTAAGGTTCATAAGCTGTGTATGAGGTGGCACTATTATTTAAAAATAGACGATGATAAGTTAAATACATATAGCAAAGAGGGAAAAGGGAGGTTTTATTGGAGGTAAAATAAAATCATAAAAAGTACTCAATTCAAAAGAGGGAAAAAAAGGAATGAAGAACAGATTGAACAAATAAGAGACCAATGGCAAGATAATGGATTTAAACCCAGCCATGTTGATAATCACATTAAATATAAACCGTCTAACAATAATTGGGTGCTTTACGACTCCAGTTCAGGAACAAACAAATATAAATAAATTGTATGTAGGAAGGAAACAGTGAAGACTTTACCCTCTATAATGGAAATGACTATAACAGTGAAATGCTTCCACCCAGAGGCACAAGAGCCCCTCAAAGCTTTAAGCCCTGGCTGCTGCTTGGTCTCTTCAGCTCTTTTTTATTAATTTTTTTTATTTTTTAGAGACAGGGTCTCACTCTGCTACCCAGCCTGGAGTGCAGTGGTGTAATCATAGCTCACTGCAGCCTTGAACCCCTAAGCTTGAGCCATTCCCCCTGCCTCAGCCTCCCAAGTAGCTGGGACTACAGGCATGCGCCACCATGCCTGGCGAAGTTTTAAATGTTTTCGTAGAGTCAGAATCTTGCTATGTTGCCCAGGCTGGTTTCAAGCTCCTGGCCTCAAGTGATCCTCCTGCTTCGGCTTCCCAAAGCACTGGGATTACAGGCATCAGCCACCTTGCTTGGCCTCTTCAGGCCCTTGATTCAAGAAAGCAGAAGGCAAGGAGGGGAGTCACCATCCTGTTGGAAAACTGACCAGTTGTCAGGAGGCTGTCATTCGTAGGGCTGCTTTTCCAAGACAGGGGCAGGGAAGAATACGCTTGGCACCAGGTAATCTATCGAGGGTCCCTGGGTGCTCACGTACTCCATTTGCATGGCACATAGATAAGTGCACGCATGTTTCAGAGGGGGCACGAGGAGGCACCCGTGTCAGGAGGTTCAGTTGAATCACTAAATTAGAGTGGTACAGGCCGGGTGTGGTGGCTCATGCCTGTAGTCTTAGCACTTTGGGAGGCCAAGGTGAGCAGATCACCTGAGGTCAGAAGTTTGAGACCAGCCTGGCCAACATGATGACACCCTGTCTCTACTAAGAACACAAAAATTAGCCAGGCATGGTGGCGGGCCCCTGTAATCCTAGCTGCTTGGGAGGCTGAGGCAGGAGAATTGCTTGAACCCGGGAGGCGGAGGTTGCAGTGAGTCAAGATCACACCATTACGTTCCAGCCTGGATGACAGAGGGAGACTCAGCCTCAGAAAAAAAAAAAAAATTAGAGCAGTACAAAGGCACTGTTGTACAACTGCACTACTATCCTCCACATGCATGTGTGGCAGGGCAGGAACTCTGCAATGTAAAAGTACATTTTTTCCCTTTGTAATTCACAAGTAATCTGTGGGCTCATACGATGGCACCTTGAAATGAACTTTTGCCTAATTGTTTAAGCATCAATTAATGACTCCTGCAGAAATAACGATTCCACTGGTGGTTGTAAATGGTCTTTTAAAAATTCTTTTTCATTTTCGAGACAGAGTCTTGCTCTGTTCCCCAGACTGGAGTGCAGTGGCGCAATCTTGGTTCACTGCAACCTCCGCCTCCTGGGTTCAACCAATTCCCCCTGCCTCAGCCTCCCAAGTAGCTGGGATTGCAGGTGCCCACCACCGCATCTGGCTAATTTTTGTATTTTTAGTAGAGGTGGGGTTTTGCCATGTTGGCCAGGCTGGTCTTGAACTCCTGACCTCAGGTGATCTGCCCGCTTTGGCCTCCCAGAGTGCTGGGAATACAGGCGTGAGCCATCACGCCTGGCCGTCTTTAAAAAATTCTACCGTTTCTATACATCTATGAGCAGAAAATTGGTAGATGAGGAAATTCCCTTCTTTGACCAAGATAAATTGATGGTCCTCCTAAAAAGGGAGAGAAATGCTCAGTTCTTTTCCTTTACTTACTGTATCTAGGTATCTACTCTTCTTCAGAGTGCAGGGGCGAGAACAGCTGTGCCAGAAAGCCCCTCCCGGCGGTGGGGCCCTCTCTGCATCACTTAGAGAATGGCAGGAGCTTGGGCCCAGGCAGGGACTCCCGGCTTCTGTTGGGGGCAGCACCTCTCTAGTACAGCCTCCCTGGGACTGCCTCCCACGTGTCCCCCTAGGTGGCTCGGACAGTCACAGTTAAGGGCAGGACAGAGTGTGTCCTCAGACTTCCCGCGTTCATCCCTCTCTCAATCCTGAGGTTCGAAAGTGGGAACCAGGCGTTGCCACCAGGTGTGTTCCCTCGGCTGCTCCAGGCGCTTCTTGTCTAGCAGGAAAGAAAGGAGGGCTTCCGAGTGGAGGTGGCCCAGGTGAGTTTCTACAGAGCCCTCCTTATCTCAGAGGCGGCAGCAAGCGCTCACTGATGCCCGCAGCAGGTGACAAGCGCGTGAGGGCGCCAGCTCTCCTATCATCATCATAGTCACTGCTTCCACAAACACGGGGGTTAAAGTCCAGGAGCCGCCGCTCCCCTGCTCCGAGCCTCCCGAGCACCTGATCAATTCCAAGCCTGAGTAAATAGTTTTGATTCTCTTTGCCTTGACAAACTCTGATCCTTCACACAATGATAAGCCTCTGGATAGTGAGGGAGTTCTGAAAGCTTCCTACTTCCCTCAAGGAGGTATTTGTTAGGCTGCAGAAAAGGAAACCGGTTCTTTCCAGGTTTTTAAAACATTCTTCCCAGTTCTTTGGCATGTGAGTTCCTGTGACCGCCGCAGCTACGTGCTCAGCAGTGCAATCTCAGAGAAGTCCAAACTGCCAGAGACTCTGCGCTTATTGCTTGGACAGTAAAGCCAGTATCATGTGATATAGTTTGCCTGGAAAATTACCGTGAGGCATGTGGCAGACCCAAAGAATGAGGACCGCACCTTGTTAGTAATAAAATCAGGTCCTGGCGCTGGAGGCTGAGCCTTCTGAGGGCTTGCAGCTGGGCGCCCGCCTGCTCCACTTCCTTTTCTGGAGGGAGTTGCGTGATTATCGGCTTCTCACGCTCTGTTTGCCTAATTTAGATTATTTTTAAAATTAATTCTGTCCTCTGAGCAGCTACCAGTATATTTTGGGGGGTCAGGTATGAGTAGTGGTTTTCTATTTTGTTTTTTTTAAGCTATCAGATAGAAATAATGACTGAGTGCAGCGGTAAAGGGAGGGTAGTAGTAGAAGGTAGTAGTAGAATCACATGCAGGAAATGAGCTCTGCTGACGTGATCCCACTCACCAGACCCTTCCTTAGACAGAGAGGGGAGCAACGTCAGGTGAAATTCAATCCACTCCATCTAATAAGGGCTAGTGATGACTGCACTGATTGGTCTGGGCCTCAAGGAGATGCCATGTCTTAGCCTGAGAAGGACCACAGTTAGCTGAAGGGACAGCAAGCAGACAGGCCACCAGGTGGGACACAGCAGGCTGGGTTCAGAGAACGGAAGGAGCCCAGGATGTCAGGAGAGATGACACCTGCCGGTGCTCCATGTTAATCCTGGCTTTGAGCCGGGCATGGTGGCTCACACCTGTAATCCTAGCACTTTGGGAGGTCGAGGCAGGAGGACTACTTGAGGCCAGGAGTTCAAGACCAGCCTGGCCAACGTGCTGAGACCCCATGTCTACAAAAAAATTGAAAAAATTAGCCAGGCTTGGCGGTGGGTGCCTGTAGCCCCACCTACTTGGGGAGGCTGAGGTGGGACAATCAGTTGAGGGAGGTCAGGGCTGCAGTGAGCTGTGATTGTCACTGCACTCCAGCCTGGGTGACAGAGCAAAACCCTTTCTCTAAAAAAAAACCCCAAAACAAACAAACAAACAAAACTCTCACCACCCCCACCAAAAGAAACCAAACCAGCTTTGCTCCTGAGAGTCACCAGAGCGACACTTGGTTTGCATTTGTCGCAGCTCCTCTGGCTGCCTAGAGTGGCGGGAATGGGTTATTTATAGAGGACTAGTTTGGATGCAGAGATAATTAAAGGGGTATCACAATGATTCAGGCCAGAGATGACAGTGGTGTGAACTAGCAAGGAGGGGCAGAGATAGAGCAACATGGGTGAATTACAGAAATGTTTCCATGGTAGACCCACTGGCTTGGAGATAGACGGGAAGCAGGGCAGGGGAAGATGCCCAGGTTTCTGGCTGCTGACTGGAGGGTGGTGCCTCTCCCTGGGCTCCAGAACAGGAAGGGAATGACTCAGAGAGTGAGCACACACAGGACACAGTTGGTTTCAGGGCGGCCATGGGACCTCCAGGTGGGGACAGTGAGTGGACAAGGACAGGCGCGGATGTGCAGCTACCAAGAAAGGCTGCTATACAGACCCACATTTAAGAGTCAAGAAGGCCGGGTGCGGTGGCTCATGCCTGTAATCTCAGCATTTTGGGAGGTCAAAGCGGGCGGATCACCCGAGGTCAGGAGTTCAAGACCACCCTGGCCAACATGGTGGAACCCCCGTATTTACTAAAAATACAAAAATTAGCAGGGCATGATGGCGAGTGCCTCTAATCCCAGCTACTTGGGAGGCTGAGGCAGGAGACTCCCTTGAACCCCGGAGGCGGAGGTTGCAGTGAGCTGAGATGGTGCCACTGCACTCCAGCTTGGGTGACAGAGTGAGACTCCGGCTCAAAAAAAAAAAGAGTCAAGGAAAGGGTGTCCTGAAATCAAGGCTGTCACTGTAATTACCTAGGAAGAGAAAGCGAGTACAGAGGAAGGAGAGAATCGAGCCAAGGACAGAAGGAGGTATATAAGCAGATAATGTAATATTTTCAAAGTAGTTTCTTTCCATCTTTTTCTTTACATGCACTGTTTTTACATAGCAGGAACCTTACTGGCTGTACAAAAATACAAACTGGACCTGCAGGTGTGTTTCTGCTCTTGGCATTAGCTTTCCCTTGCTGCTTTAGAACTACTTTTATAAACATAATTTTTAATGGCTGCATAATTCCACCATTTACTTTTTACATTTAAGAAGCCACATTTGAAGCTAGCTTGATAAAGTCATAAGCAAGCAACGGTGAGAAATGGAATAAGGGCAGGTGTGTGCAAAGGTCAGGGAACATTGTCGGAGCTACTCAATGCTGTGGGGGGTGGGGTCAGGTAAGCTTGATGTCGCAGTTGGACACAGCTGCTGTAACGAAATACCTTAGACTGGATAGTAGCTCACCATGCTACTGCAGCGGAGGCTGGGATGTGCCAAATCAAGGTGCCGCAGATGCAGCGTCTGGCCAGACCTCTCTGCTTCCAAATGGTGCCTTGTTGCCACGTCCTCCACGGCAGAAGGGGTGGAAAGGACTAGGACACTCCCTCCAACCTCCAAAAGGCTCCACTTCTTAATACCATCACATTGGGTATTAGGTCCCAACATGTAAATTTTATGGGGACACCCACATTCAGACCATAACTTGGGAAGGCAAGTGGCATTTGAACAGGGCCCTGGGACACAGGTGGCCTTCTCAGGGTTCAGTCAGTGCCCACTGAAACTAGCTCAGTCCTCAGATTCCCCTCCAACCTAGTTAGCTCTATTTTTTTTCTAACTTTTGTGGGTACATAGTAGGTGTATATATTGGTGGGGTACATGAGATGTTTTGATGCAGGCATGCAATGTGAAATAATCACCTCATGGAGAATGGGGTAGCCATCCCCTCCAGCATTTATCCTATGTGTTACAAACAATCCAGTTACACTTCTACTTGTTTTAAAATGTACAGTTGTTATTGACTATAGTCACGCTGTTGTGTGATCAAATAGTATGTCCTATTCTATTTTTTTTTGTACCCATTAACCATCCCCACCTCCCCACCTTCAGTCTCCCCACTACACTTCCCAGCCTCTGGTAACTATCCTTCAAGTCTCTATGTCCATGAGTTTGTTCTAACTTTTAGTTCCCACAAATGAGTGAGAACATGAGATGTTTGTCTTTCTGTGCCTGACTTATTTCACTTAACATAATAATCTCCAGTTCCATCCATGTTGTTGCAAATGACAGGATCTCATTCTTTTTATGGCTGAATAGTACTCCATTGTGTATATGTACCACATTTTCTTTATCCATTCATCTGTTGATGGACACTTGGGTTGCTTCCAAATCTTGGCGATTGTGAACAGTGCTGCAACTAGCATGGGAGTGCAGACATCTCTTTGATATACTGACTTCCTTTCTTTTGGGTAGATACCCAGCAGTGGGATTGCTGGATCATATGGTAGCTTTACTTTTAGTTTTTTGAGGAACCTCCAAACTACTGTCCATAGTGGGTGCACTAATTTACATTCCCATCAACAGTGTATGAGGGTTCCTTTTTCTCAAAATCCTCACTGGCATTTGTTACTGCTTTTTAGATAAAAGCCATTTTAACTGGGGTGAGATGACATCTCATTGTAGTTTTGATTTGCATTTCTCTGATGATCAGTGATGTTGGGCACCTTTTCATATGCCTGTTTGCCATTTGTGTGTGTTTTGAGAAATGTCTATTCAAATATTTTGCTCATTTTTTGATCAGATAATAAGATTTTTTCCTATAGAGTTGTTTGAGATCCTTATATATTCTGGTTATCAATCCCTTGTCAGATGGGTAGTTTGCAAATATTTTCTTCCATTCTGTGGGTTGTCTCTTCACTTGGCTGATTGTTTCCTTTGCTCTGCAGAAGCTTTTTAACTTGATTTGATCCCATCTTTCCATGTTTGCTTTGGTTACCTATGGTTTTGGGGTACTGCTCAAGAAATTTTTGCCCAGACCAATGTCCTGGAGACTTTCCTCAATGTTTTCTTGTAGTAGTTTCGTAGTTTGAGGTCTTAGATTTAAGTCTTAAATACATTTTAATTTGATTTTTGTGTATGGCAAGAGACAGTGGTCTAGTTTCATTCTTCTGCATATTGATATCCAGTTTTCCCAGCACCATTTAAGATACTGTCTTCCCCAGCATATGTTCTCAGCACCTTTTTTGAAAATGAATTCACAAGTGTGTGGGTTTGTTTCTGGGTTCTCTATTCTGTTCCATTGGTCTATGTAGTTGTTTTTATGCCAGTGTCATGCTGTTTTGGTTACTATAGCTTTGTCATATAATTTGAAGTCAGGTAATGTCTTGTTCTTTTTGTTGAGGATAGCTTCAGCTATTCTGCATCTTTTGTCATTCCATATAAATTTTAGGATTTTTTAAAATTTAAGAATGTTGTTGGTATTTGGATAGGGATTGCATTGAATCTGTAGATTGTTTTGGGTAGTATGGACATTTTAACAATATTTTTTCTTCTAATCCATGAACATGGAATATTTTTCCATTTTTGGTGTCTTTTTCAATTCTTCATCAGTGTTTTATAGTTTTCATTATAGGGATCTTACACTTCTTTGGTTAATTCCTAGGTATTTAATTTTATGTGTGGCTATTGTAAATGAGATCACTTTTTAAAGTTTCTTTTTCAGATTGCTCACTGTTGGCATATAGAACCACTACTGATTTTTGTATGTTGATTTTGTATCCTGTAACTTTACTGAATTTATCAGTTCTATAAGTGCTTTTGTGTGTAGACTCTTCAGGTTTTTTTCAAGTATAAGATCATATCATCTGCAAACGAGGATAATTTGACTTCTTCCATT